>NC_000005.10:119503746-119806776 GCF_000001405.40 Homo sapiens | reverse complement strand
CAAATAAGAAAATAACAGGAGTTAAGTCCTTACTTATCAATAATAACATTTAATGTAAATGAACTAAAATCTACTATCAAAAGACATAGCCTGGCTGAATAGATTTAAAAAAAAAAAACAAGACCCATTCATCTGTTGCCTACAAGAAACACACTTCACCTATGAAGATGCACATAGACTGAAAAGAAAAGGATGGAAAAAGATAATCCATGCGAATGAAAACCCAAAAAGAGCAGGAGTTGCTATACTTAGACATAGATTTCAAGACAAAAGCTATAAGAAGAGACAAAGAAGGTCACTATATAATGATAAAGGGGTCAATTCAGGAAGACGATATAACAATTTTCAACATATATCACTCAACACTGGAGCATCCAGATATATAAAGGAAATATTATTAGAGTTAAAGAGAGAGATGGGCCCCAATACAATAATAACTGGAGACTTTAACACCTCACTTTCAGCATTGGACAGGTCTTATAGACAGAAATCAACAAAGAAACATCAGACTTAATCTACACTACAGAACAAATGGATCTAATAGATATTTGCACAACATTTCATCCAAGGGCTACAGAATACACATTCTTTTCCTCAGCACATGAATCATTCTCAAGAATAGACCATATGTAAGGTCATGAAACAAGTCTTAACAACATTCAAAAAAATAATAATATCAAGCATCTTCTCTGACCACAATGGAATAAAACCAGAATTCAATAATAAGAAGAATTTTGGAAACCATACAAATACATGACCATTAAACAATATGCTCCTGAATCACCAGTGTGTCAATGAACAAATTAAGAAGGAAATTGAAAAATTGTATTGAAACAAGTGATAATGCAAACACATCCCAAAACCTGTGGGATACGGCAAAAGCAGTGCTCAGAGGGAAGTATCCAGTTACAAGTGCCTACATCAAAAAAGAAGAAATATTTCAAATAAAAGCAAACCAAACCCAAAATTAGTAGAAGAAAATAAATAATAAAAATAAGAGCAGAAATAAATAAAATTGAAATAAAAATACAATACAAAAGATTAATGAAGCAAAAAGTTTTTTTAAAAAAAACAAAATTGACAAATCTTTAGCCAGACTAAGAGAATCAAAATAAATAAAATTAGAAATGAAACAGGAAATATGATAACTGGTACTGCAGCAATTCAAAGAATTGTTAATGGCTACTATAAGCAGCTATATGCCAATAAATTGGAAAATCTAGAAGAAATGGACAAGTTTCTAGATATACACCACCTACCAAGATTGAAGCAGGAAGAAATCCAAAGCCTGAACAGACCAATAACAAGTAACCAGATCAAAGCCATAATAAAAACTATCCCAGTAAAGAAAAGCCCAGGACCTGATGACTTCACTGCTAAATTCTACCAAACACTTAAATAACTAATATCAGTCCTATTTAAACTATTCCAAAAAATAAAGGAGTAAAGAATACTTCCAAACTCATTCTGTGAGGCCAGTTTTACCCTGATACCAAACCTTGACAAAGATACATCAAAAAAAAGAAGAAGAAAGAAAGAAAGAAAAAGAAATGGAAACTACAGGCCAATATCTTTGATGAATATTCATGCAAAAATTCTCAACAAAGGAGATGCAAGAATGGTTCAACATATGCAAACCAATCAACATGACACATCATATCAATAGAATGAAAGACAAAATTATATGATCATTTCAATTGATGCTGAAAAAGCATTTGATAAAATTCAACGCCCCTTCATAATAAAAACTCTCAAAAAACTGTATAGAAGGAACATAGCTCATCATAATAAAAGCCATATATGACAGACCCACATCTAGCATCATATGGAATGGGGAAAAACTGACAGCCTTTTTTGTAAGATCTCGGACATGATAAGGATGCCTACTGTCACCACCATTATTCAACATATTACTGGAAGTCCTAGTTAGAGCAATCAGACAAAAAACAAACAAAAAAAAGTCATCCAAATTGGAAAAGAATATGTCAAATTATTTTTGTTTGCTGATGATATGATCTTATCTTTGGAAAAACCTAAAGATTGCTCAAGAAAACTATTAGAACTGATAAACATTCACTAAAGTTGCAGGATACAAGATCAACATACAAAAATCAGGAGCATTTCTGTACACCAAGAGTGAACAATGTGAAAAAGAAATTTTTAAAAATCTCATTTACAATAGCCACACATAAAGTTAAATACCTAGGAACTAACCAAAGAAGTGAAAGTTTTCATAATGAAAACTATAAATTGAAGAGAACAACAAAAAAAATTGAAAAATTAATTTATGTTCATGGATTGGCAAAATCAATATTGTTACAATGTCCATACTATCCAAAGCAATCTACAAATTCAATGCAATCCTTATTAAAATACCAATGACATGTTTCACAGAAATAGAAGAAATTATAAAATTTATATGGAACCACAAAAGACCTGGTATAGCTAAAGCTATCCTAAGCAAAAAGAACAAAATGAAAGGACACATTACCTCACTTCAAATTATATTTGAAGGCCTAGGAAACAGGCTGGGTTACAGAACCCAGAGATATAGTAATGAAAACAGCATGGTACTGGTATAAAAAGAGACACATAGACCAATGGAACAAAATAGAGAACGCAGAAACAAATCCACACATCTATAGTGAACTCATTTTTGACAAAGATGCCAAGAACATATTCTAGGGGAAAGACAGTTTCATCAATAAATGATCTTGGGGAAAGTGGATATCCATATGCAAAAGAATGAAACTAGGGCCAGGTGCAGTAGCTCCTGCCTGTAATTCCAGCACTTTGGGAGGCCGAGGCAGGCAGATCACCTGAGGTTGGGAGTTCGAGATCAGCCTGGCCAACATAATGAAACCCATCTCTAGCAAAAATACACAAATTAGCCAGGCGTGTTGGCACACGTTTGTAATCCCAGCTACTTGGGAGGCTGAGGCAGGAGAATCACTTGAACCCAGGAGGCAGAGGTTGCAGTGAGCCAAGAACATGCCACTGCACTCCAGTCTGGGTGACAGAGCAAGACTCCATCTTAAAAAATAATAATAATAATAAATAAGTAAATAAATAAATCAGATCAAAACAACCCCTATCTCTCTATATATACAAAAATCAAATCAAAATTGACTACAGACTTACATCTAAGACTTCAAATTATTAAATGACTGCAATAAAACATTGGGGAAACTCTCCAAGACATTAATCTGAACAAAGATTTCTTGGGCAATACCTCACAAGCACAGGCAACCAAAGCAAACATGGACAAATAAGATCACATCAAGTTTAAAAGCTCCTGCACAGCAAAAGATATAAGAAACAAAGTGAAAACACCCACAGAATGGGAGATAGTATTTGCAAACTATTCCTTTGACAACGTATTAATAACCAGAATATTTAAGGAGCTCAAACAACTCCACAGGAAATAGTCTCATAATCCAATTAGCAAATGGGCAAAAGACTCAAGTAGACATTTCTCAAAAGTAGACATAAAAATGGCAAACAGACATATGAAAGGTAACTTGTATTAGTCTGTTCTCACTCTGCTATAAAGAACTACGTGAGACTGAGTAATTTATGAAGAAAAGCGCTTTAATTGACTCACAGTTCTGCAGGTTATACAGTAAGCATGGCTGGGAGGCTTCAGCAAACTTACAATCACGGTGGAAGGTGAAGAGGAAGTAACCTTGTCTTTACCATGGCAGAGCAGGAGAGAGAGTGAAGGGGGACGTGCCACACACTTTCAAACAACAGCTCGCATGAGAACTCACTCACTCTCACAAGAACAGCAAGGGAGAAGTCAGCTTCCATGATTCAATCACCTTCCACCAGGCCCCTCCCCCAACACGTGGGGATTACAATTCGAGATGAGATTTTGGTGGGGACCAGCGCCAAAACTCATCAGACCTCAACATCATTGATCATCAGAGAAATGCAAATCAAAACTACAATGAAATATCATCTCACCCTAGTTAAAATGGCTTATATCCAAAAGACAGGTAATAACAAAAGCTGTTGAGGATGTGGGGAAAAAAGAACCCTTGAACACTTGGTGGGAATGTAAATTAGTACAACCACTATGGAGAACAGTTTGGAGGTTCCTCCAAAAGCTAAAAATGGAGCTATAATATGATTTAGCAATCCCACTGGTGGGCATATACCCAAAAGAACAGAAATCGGTATATTGAAGAGATCTCTGCACTCCTGTTTGTTGCAGCACTGTTTACAATAGTTAAGATTTGAAAGCAACCTAAGTGTCCATCAACAGATGAGTGGATAAAGAAAATGTGGTACACATATAAAATGGAGTACTATTCAGCCATAAAAAGAATGAGATCCAGTCATTTTCAACAACATGAATGGAACTGGAGATCATTATTTTAAGTGAAATAAGCCAGACACAAAAGTAAAAACATCTAATGTTCTCACTTATTTGTGGGATCTAAAATGCAAATCAATTGAACTCATGGACATAGAGAGTAGAAGAATGGTTGGAGGCTGGGAATGGTATGGGGATGGATGGGGGAAAGTGAGGATGGTTAATGGATACCAAAAAAATACAAATAATGAATAAGACTTATTATTTCATAGCACAATAGGGTGACTATAGTCAATAATAATTTAATTGTATATTTTAAAATAACAATGTAATCGGATTGTTTGTAACTCAAAGGATAAATGCTTGAGGGGATGGACATTTCATTTTCTGTGATGTGTTTATTTCAAATTACACACCTGTATCAAAACATATCATGTACCCTATAAATATATACACTTACTATGTGACCACAAAATTTTTAAAAATAAGTAAATTAAAAGAACTAGGTGAGTCAAGAATGTCGTGTTTAATTAGGTTAGATGTTTCAGTGTAATGGTGAGGATGGATAAGGTTATGCTGCAGGAATGAATAATTCCACACAATCTCAGTGATATAATATAGTAAATGTTTATGTCCCACAGAAAGTGTTCCATCAATCCCTGTGACTTTCAAGGCTGTGTCATCCCTCTGGCAGCTCAGCAATTAGGCTGCTTTGATCTTGTGTCTTCATGATTAACGTGGCAGGGAAAAAGACAGCTGAAGTCTCTTGCTTGGAAAATTCAATGCCTTGGCCCAAAAGCAGCTCAAATCACCTCCAGTCACAACCTATTTGTGGTAATTAATTTGCCCAACTTTAAGGAAGATGAGGTGGGAGATTTCCAAGGTGACTGGAAGGACAGGAGAAAGACATATTAATGAATATGAGTAAAGCTTATAAACAAGCCTATTCCCTACTGTTCCGCTTACAGACTACTCTCTTCCATTAATTATATTATCATGCAAATGAGGTAAATAGAAATAAGTGGGAAAATATGAGGTTTAGCTAAATTGTGGTGGAGGGCCTAGGAAACAGGCTGGGTTGCAGAACCCAGTAAGTTAGGGGAATTTTGAGTAATGAAGATATATGCTCTTTCACAAATATGTCTGTGATCAAATGCAGATAAATCCTAAACCCATGTGACTTCTCCTCTCTATCACTAACTTAAAGGAACTCATTCTGACATGACTTGCTGAAAACCAAGGGAGTTTGTTGCTTTGAGTGCTGACTTAACCCTTTCTTTCCGTCAAGGAGGATCTAGCCCACTCAACGGGAATGAGAAACTATGACTTAAGAGTCATTTTTTTGTAAGTAAACAAGGACAAAATGGGATGTTAAAATGGAGGATGATGTTACTTTTGACAAGAAAAATTTAAGGGCAAAAGGATTAAAGTTTACTAAAAAACGAAAAAAGAGAAAATGAACAAGAATTTATAGAACAGAATTTTTTTCAGCTATAAGACTTGCTGTATCTTGTCAATTGCCTCTAGGCTCTAGCATAAGGCTCCCTGCATAGTATTTCAAGGAAGAATTACAAATAAATTAGGTAACAACATTTGGTTTGTGTTGAATTTGTTTGTGTGGCTGATGAAGAGAACTTGGAGTTTGTGAGAGATATTTTCTTTGCTATGTTTATAAATGTTGCATTTACGTGCTGGTAGCTGTTATGGTAGCTTTTGATTCAAGGTTATTATTTATACTGACATTCATAGCATTTTGAGATTTTGGGGACATACAAAAACATTTACAGGTTACACTACTAAATTCCTTTCTGACTCCTCAGTGGCCATTAACATGTAAACTCAAGGCATGACAGATTATTTCCTTTCTACAAACGACTTTGTTAACCAGCATAGTTAACAGTACATTTGGTAGGCTCTGAGTGTTTCTTAAGGAAGCTTCTACACAACCTGAAGATCTAAATTAATAGATTTCTACTGAGCTGTTTACATGTTATTACTAGGAAATCTCATCAGCCAGACAATGAAAATGTTAAATTCTCAAAATGAATAACCTGAACTAAACACAATAATTATATGCAGCCTAGATGTTCTCTGTGTTATAACTTGGTATTTTCAGTTAGTAGAAATCTCATGCCTGGCTAATCTGTATCAAATAGCTTCTTTATTCTCCACTCTATATTGGATTTGTTCATCAAATTTCACAGAATTCCCTCCAGCTACCTTTATCTTTTCTTTACTATTGCTTAGAAAATGTACAGTATTGCCTTTGTCATTTAGTTCCTTCATTTATTCAGCCAACATATGTCAAACATTTCTTTGGGTTGAGCACTGGGTATTTCCTCTCTGAATAACTGTGATCGCCTCCAAATTTGTACATCCAAGGTAACTCAAATCTTCCAAGCTATTTTCCACACTAAATCCTGAGGCTGAGACTTGCCAAAGACCAAAATGCTAATCTTAGCCACAGGCCTTTCATGGTCTGGCCTCTACCTAACTTTCCAGGAGCATTCAGAACTACATTTTCTCTCGCTCTGTATACTTCAATCACCATAATGTTTTTTCAAATCCTTATATTTAGCAGGTGCACTCCTGCTCCCAGACTTTGAAAATGTTATCTGCGCTGCCTGTAACACTCTTCCCTCAATGCCTGAATTGAATCAATGCTTAATCATCCTCCAAATCTCAATTCAAGCACCACTTCATGAGCAAATTCTTAGATGACCTTTCTTAGTGGATCAATTATCCCTGATATATCCTCTCAGCACACTACTTCCTCCCCTTTTTCACAATGATCACATTTGTGATGCTAAATTTATTTCTGTGGTAATTAATGTCTGTCTCCTCTACTAAACTAAAACTCCAGGAAGTCAGGACCACCATTGTATTTCCACTAAAAACCACAGTGATTGGCACATAATAGACTCTCAATAAATGTGTACTGAATGAATGAATACACAAATATCAGAATATTTGAAATTTTTAAAGAAAAAAATGAAGCTTTACACAAAATGGCAGACTGGGTGTGATGGAAATCTGTCATTTGTGGTTATCCAAAGACTTTTGGACATTCTCCATTTTGATAGTTTTACCACTTTTTCCAGGTTGAATCCAAAATTTATATTTCCCAGCATCCTTTCTCCTAGTATACAAACTTATGACTAGCTTTTACCAGATACACCCACAAGAGACTTTAGAGGGCAAATTTGAAGACCTAGAGACTGCTGGGCTCTTTTACCAAAAACAGTCATTGGAGGCATTTGATTTTCTACAGTATCCATAGTGAGTGTTCTCATATCAGGTCCTCATTTTGTTGGTTTATTTGTAAGACGATATACAAGACTATATAAAAAAATATAAAAATGTACTGACAGATATTTTAGAAATCTAATAAATAACACAAAAGCAAAAATATATGTTTAAGGATGTTTATTGTATTGATGTTTGCAATAACAAAAAAATAAAATAAAATAAATTGGAAACCAGTTTCCATCAGCAGAAAAATTCTATTTTACCATATTGGGTTCACCTTGCCCACTGCCCAGACAGAGCCAATTTATCAAGACAGGGGATTGCAGTGGAGAAAGAGTAATTCACACAGAGCCACCTGTATGGGAGACCGGAGTTTTATTATTACTCAAATCAGTCTCCCTGAAAACTCAGGGATCAGGGGTTTTTAAGCATAATTTGGTGGGTAGGTGCCAGTGAGTCACGTTTGCTGATTGGTTGTCTCAAGCACTGATCTTAGGTTTTACAATACTGATGCTATTCCCAGGAGCTATTGGAGAGGGTCAGAATCTTACAGCCTCCAGCTGCATGACTCCTAAACCATAATTTCTAATCTTGTGACTAATTTATTAGTTCTACAAAGGCAGTATAGTCCCCAGGCAGGAAGGGGGTTTGTTTTTGAAAAGGATTGTTATCATCTTTGTTTCAAAGTTAAAGTATAAACTAAATTCCTCCCAAAGTTAGTTCAGTCTACATCCAGACATGAACAAGGACAGCTTGGAGGTTAGAAGCAAGATGGAGTAGGTTAAGTCAGCTCTCTTTCATTGTAATACTTTTCTCAGTTATGATTTTTGAAAAGGCAGTTTCAACATTGTTATACATCAATGCAATAGATCCCCTCCAAAAAAAACTTTAAAAGAATGAGATAATTCTATAAATATTGACATGAAAAGTTGCCAGCCATATTTTTGTTATTTTTTAAGATGTAGAACAAAGATGTAATTCAGTATTTTGTTTAAAAGAAGTGCATGATTGTATATGTACAGAATGCAGATAAAATTATATAAGGATATATTATCAGACACCTCTTTTGCTACCTTCAGTGGCCTCATCCCCACTTCTTACAAACACTGCTGCCTTGGCCAGTTCCGTAGACTTTGACCAGCCTTGCCCAGGTGCAAGGTGAACATGCCTCACTTCAGCCCATACTGGGTACACCTAAGCTCCCTTCCGTGCGGCATGCAGTTCTGAGACACATTTCATATGGCCCCTCACAATCTTACAGGGAACAAAGGGACAAGCCAGAAACTTTCCCTTTTTTACTTTACGCACTCTGAAAAGTTTAAATTTATTATTTTTTAAAGTATTTGTTTTTGTAATTTAATAAGTAGAATATCAATAGGACCTGTTATATTACAAATTCTATATAGGGGTGCAAAAACTAAAAGCATGTAGCCAGATGAGTGACTAGGTTAAATGGAAAGATTGTGGAGCTATTTACAGAAACTGAAAACACAGGAGTCGCAGGATTGGCAGAGATGATGGAGTTCAATTTTAGACATATTAAGTTTGAGGCACCTATTTCCAGGTAGTAATGCAATAGTCTGAAAGAGATCGTTTTACTCACTAGCCATACAGAAGGGATTAGGACATTTGTTTGTACATAAAGAAGGTAATCATTCATTCTGATAACCTGTTTAAGCACAATTTTAAAGGTAAAGTTTATAAACTAAACAATATATTAGCTTTGTTCTAGTTTCACAGTTCTGATCTTATGGAAATAGATTTATTATTTAATTTCTAAGCATCATTGTCACTTGATACAATATTGGAAACCATTATAAATTGTGTGATTGAAATATAGCAATATTATTCTACTCAACTGTTGAGGCAGAGTTTCTGCAGCTGACACTGAAATGGGTTTTAGGGGCTGAGACGTTTATCAACTCAGTTTGACCCCTAAATGTCTATTCCCTTTACTCCAGTTACCCCAAATATTATAATTTTCTGTGTGTGTCATGACATCAAAAGTTTGGGACTTATTGGATTTAAATACTCATTAAAATGTTTTCTTGTTTTATGAGCTCACTTAAAATATTTATCCATTAATTTGTTTGAATTGCATATTGCAGGGGCAAAAGCGACTTCATCTTGGATTCTAATCCACCATGTTGACTTCTGATTAACCCCTGTTCTGGGAATGCCTCTAAGACTTCTACTTTCACATACATACTGTAAATACGCCCCTTGGGTCAAAACAACCTTGATGATATCATAAACACATAATTACCATAAATCCCACCCTTAGGCAAATTTCCTATGGCATATAAGCCCTAGGTTTGGTGGGGGTGGGGGTAACTGCATGCGGATCCAGCATCTTGTCCCATGGCTGCCAAGAAGTGGCTTCTGCTCATAAAATCCTATTAAATGTTTATTTCTGAGAAACTGAATTGGTCAGCTTCTTTCTTCAGCCTCTCAGTTTCCTCCGCCTTCAGGAGTAGGTTTGTATAGACCTGCTCACTGCAGAACACATCAAAAATGCTATCTAAGTACTAAATAAAATATGAGGCGTACATCCCACTCCTCACCTAGTACTTTTTATTTATTATTTTGTAGAAGGAAATATGAATCAATTTTTTTCAATGTAGCACTCCACAGGATTATGGGACAGATAGTATACAAAAGCTCCCCCTTGCCAATCATTTCTTTGCTAACCTGTATAACAGGCTAAACTAATAAGAACTTTTCTTTCCCTATCTATATAACATTACCACATTGCTTTGATGTGCCAAAGTAACAAATATCAGCATGAAAACTCATGTTGGCATGGCTAAATATTTGGCATATGTTAAAGTTGTGAGGACAAAAGTAGTCCTTTATAAAATAGTGGAAAAGGTCAGTTATATCTCCAGTCATTTCTGTCCTGAAATCACCTTTGCAAAATTATGACTGAGACAGTGAAAGAGATCCAACCTAACTGACTCCATCTTGCTTCTAACCTCCAAGCTGTCCTTGTTTATTCCCGGGTGTAGGCTGAACTAACTTTGGGAGGAATTTAGTTTATAGTTTATAGTTTAAAACAAAGACCATAACAGCCCTTTTCCAAAACAAACCTCCTTCTTGCTTGGAGACTAGGCTGCCTTTGTAGGACAAGAAATTAACCACAAGTTAGAAACTATGGTTTAGGAGTCATGCAGCTGGAGGCCACAAGATTCTGATCCTCCCTAAACTGCTCCTAAATTCAGTGCTTGAGATATTTTGCAGACTCTGCACTTGATGGATGAGCTGGCACTGACCAGACCGATAAAATGGCTCATCTGATCTTGTTGCCCCACCCAGGAACTGATTCAGCACGAGAGCTTCAAGTTTTTATGATTTCATCTTCTACCTAACCAATCAGCACTTCTAGCTCACTGGCTTCCACCCACCCACCAAGTTGTCCTTAAAAACACTGATCCCTGAATGTTCAGAGAGACTGATTTGAGTAATAATAAAACTCTGATCTCCCACACAGCAGGTTCTGTGTGAATTACTCTTTCTCTATTGCAATTCCCCTGTCTTGATAAATCAGCTCTGTCTAGGCAGTGAGCAAAGTGAATCCATTGGATGGTTACAGTCCTACAAACTTAGCCATCTGTTCTAGATACCCGTCAGCCTCTGTTCTAGATACCCACGGTGGCCTCAAATTGTTTCTGTCTCCATTCCATCAAAATGAGTTTTCCAGGGCATTGCCTAATAAATTTATTTAGAACAAGTTCTAAATTTGTGATGCTCCAAGGAAATTGCGTGTCTGAAGTGCATTTGCATTTTTGCAACAGGAAACTCTTAGGAAAAAAAACTCAATATTAGCCTTAGGTTGTTCCAGTATTCTAGGCAGGAGAAATGTTGTCAAATCCTTGAGTTTACACTAGTTAGGTGGCTAGCTGATTCATCTATTATTTCTACAACTGTCTATGTGTGATTTAATATTTAGGGAATAAAAATACGACTAAGCGGGTGAATGGACTATTATTTTCTGGAAATGGAAAAATAAATTTGCACATAACTAGGTGTTCATTTTGGATTAGCCAGCTTCCTATCTTCTTTGATCTGGCTACTTTTCCCCATATCCCCAGTCTCCAATCTTGAAGTCATCAACATGACCCAGAATTGGACATTGGGATGTGTGTGTTTTGTTTTTGTTTTTGTTTAAAAAAAAAACAGTACCCAAACAGAGATATAGACCAATGGAACAGAATAGAGCCCTCAGAAATAATACCACACATCTACAACCATCTGATCTTTGACAAACCTGACAAAAACAAGAAATGGGGAAAGGATTCCCTATTTAATAAATGGTGCTGGGAAATCTGGCTAGCCATATATAGAAAGCTGAAACTGGGTCCCTTCCTTACACCTTATATAAAAATTAATTCAAGATGGATTAAAGACTTAAGTGTTAGACCTAAGACCATAAAAACCCTAGAAGAAAACCTAGGCAATACCATTCAGGACATAGGCATGGGCAAGGACTTCATGTCTAAAACACCAATGGCAACAAAAGCCAAAATTGACAAATGGGATCTAATTAAACTAAAGAGCTTCTGCATAGCAAAAGAAACTACCATCTGAGTGAACAGGCAACCTACAGAATGGGAGAAAATGTTTGCAATCTACTTATCTGACAAACAGCTAATATCCAGAATCTACAAAGAACTCAAACAAATTTACAAGAAAAAACAAACAACCCCCATCAAAAAGTGGGCAAAGGATATGAACAGACACTTCTCAAAAGAAGACATTTATGCGGCCAACAGACACATGAAAAAATGCTCATCATCACTGGCCATCAGAGAAACGCAAATCAAAACTATAATGATATACCATCTCATACCAGTTAGAATGGCAATCATTAAAAAGTCAGGAAACAACAGGTGCTGGAGAGTATGTGGAGAAATAGGAACACTTTTACACTGTTGGTGGGACTGTAAACTAGTCCAACCATTGTGGAGGACAGTGTGGCAATTCCTCAAGGATCTAGAACTAGAAATACCATTTGACCCAGCTGTCCCATTACTGGTTATATACCCAAAGGATTATAAATCCTGCTGCTATAAAGACACATGCACACGTATGTTTATTGTGGCACTATTCACAATAGCAAAGACTTGGAACCAACCCAAATGTCCATTAATGATAGATTGGATTAAGAAAATATGGCACATATACCCCCATGGAATACTATGCAGCCATAAAAAAGGATGAGTTCATGTCCTTTGTAGGGACATGGATAAAGCTGGAAACCATCATTCTCAGCAAACTATCTCAAGGACAAAAAACCAAACACCACATGTTCTCACTCATAGGTGGGAATTGAACAATGAGGACACACGGACACAGGAAGGGGAACGTCACACACCGGGGCCTGTCATGGGGTGGGGGGAGTGGGGAGGGATACCATTAGGAGATACACTTAATGTAAATGATGAGTTAATGGATGCAGCACAGCAACATGGCATATGTGTACATATGTAACAAACCTGCACGTTGTGCACACGTACCCTAGAACTTAAAGTATAATTTTAAAAAAATCAGAAGAAAAAGACAGTAACAAGGAGCACTGTTTTCATGTCTGCCATAGGGCTGAAAAACTAATTTATACTGCCTTGCATCATAGCTTGACCACTGCTGATTCTCAAAGGATTACAAATACTGTTTTTTACATTTGTCAACCATAAAAACCAAGGTACATATTTAGTGCCACTTTTCTCTTTGAAATATACAATTCTTCAAATAAATTCTGCACATAAGGAGTAAGACATATAAGTAAATTTGCCATTCTTTGCACGGAGGTCAGCAAGAAACAGAGGCGTGCCTTTGACATTGTGGCTATTGAAGGACAATTAATAATGGTGACAGAAATAAGAAATGACCAAAGAACAGGTAAACTTATTAACTCAAATCCTAACCAATTTTTATTCAACCTAAATTTGATGGAATATCTTTCAACGAGAAAGGTAGTATGTCATACAAACCCTGCAAGTCTCAAGCGTTTTCGATTGTGTGTTCAGTTTCCTCTACAAGTGTTCTGCTTTTAATTATTTTTATAGTAAGAAAGGCACTTGTCTTCTCACTCCTTAGGCTTCTCAAGAGTCTTCCCCTCCACCTCCATAACTCCCCCTAAAAGAAACAAAGTCAAAGTAAACAATTTCAACTCCAACTCCTCATTTGTTTTTCCACATGGAATAAACCTAGCTTTCCAAGGAAGAGGGTCACAAGACCTAGACTTAGAAACAAGGGAAAAAGTAGGAGGCATCATATTGTGTCTTTGGATCCAAGCTGCATGCTCCATTCCAACTTCAAAACTAAAAAAGCTGCTGCTGCTCTTCTTTCTCTCTCACTTGGCCACAAGATAAATAATTATGTTCTCTAACACACTTCTAATCTAAATTAAATAACGTTTAATTCAAGTTTTCAGTTTTACACTTTGGAATCACTAATCTTTACATTTTTTGCAGAAGGATACTCCTCAGAAGGTCATCAAATGTTTTAAGCTATAAAAATAGATCCGGAGTTCCCAATTCTCTGACCAGACCTATTCAAGATGCAAGAACATCTGCTAAGCCAGGAGGCTGCACTACCCGAAGCTCAGCAATGATGCAAAGCATGTCTGTGAGTCACTAAGGCCACTTTTGAATTGAACTGCCTGATGTCTGTAAAGAATAATGCCTTTAAAATGTCATAAAAGCTATATATATATTTTAAAAAAAACTGGAGCAGAAGAGAAAACTGTTTATTCCAAATAAATGTTTTCACTTTGTCCACAGCAAAGGTTTCTGTGAGATAAGGCCATGAATTAAAACAGCACACAGAGCAAGGTTACTGCCCATGTAATAAAATGTCAGACTAAAAAAAGAGAGTAATCAGGGAGCTTTATTTGAACTTTGATTCCATAAATCAGTCAACTGAACTCAACAACCTCATTGCGTCTTAGCAGAAACTAAAAGCAGATAATCTCTCAGAACTGAAAATACGAAATAAGGGCAAAAAGAATGTCAAGTGTTAAGTCCCCCAGAAATCCTCCTCATCACCACCACTCACTTCCTACCACCATCATTGCTACCAGTATCGAAATCCTTTATTCCTCATCTGCAGCCTCAGGCTCCTATCAAGCACATAAAGAGAATTTATCACAAGATCTACTTCCTCTGCCTTTTTCTTTTCCTTTTTATTTTCCTCCAGATTATTTAGTTGATCTAAAATTCACATTTGGTGAGAATATTTGAAAAACTTCCTACTAGAATGACATACTACCAATCCCATTGTGGTTAACAATTAAACATTTCTAACATCAGGCTGATTTAACATAGTAAATGGTCTGCATATTGAAAAAATTAATAAGCAATTCTTTTTAAATTAAAGCAGTCAAGAGTTTCTCCCCAAGGTTCTTGTAATAAGGAAAGAATGCTAACTAATATGAAAGGTTATCTGGAGTATACTCATTTCTTTTCTGAGATACACCATGAATTGCCAACTTTAAAAATGTATAAAACCTTAATTTGAACCATCAACTGTTGATTAGGTAATTTACTTATCTGTGCCTCAGAAACTCATCCGTGAAATGGAGATTAACCATGTTCAGGTGATCCATGTCAGGTGTATGTGTAAGAACAAATACAAACTAAAAATAAGAAAATTAAGTCTTCGTATTTCAAAAAAAGGAGATTTTCCTTCCCTCCTTTTTCTCTGAGCATTTAATTCACATTTGTAATTGTAATTACTTTCTCCTCTCTTGGAAATGCATAAAAATCCTATAAAAACTAGATAGGCCATTTGTCAGTTCTATAACCAAGGAATGTCTTTTCAAGGACCTTGGAGATATCTCTTTGAAATGTAAACATCAAAAGATAGCACCCCTATCTTCCCATTTCTGTGGGAGGGTAAGAGCTTAACTATTGTTAGTTCCTTGCTCCAGTTGCAAAACTACCTTCTGCCATAAAGAGATGGGAAGTTTGTTTTTCCCCTGGGTAAAGTCAATTAATTAGCTAACACAGGTGGTCACCCCAATTACCAGGTAAACTGAGGATGAACTATGTATAAAAAAATGATGCTTTCAAGTCCTCCTACTTTAGAATAAGTTATTGTTTATCTTTAAAACACATATGTAACAGGTTGTATTTACTTGACTATATAAAAGAGTGAAGTTTTTTTTCTGCCTTTGCAATCTTTTGCCTGTGATGTGCATCACATTCTGCTTTAGTGCTTGTTCAATCATGAAAGTGTCTTCTTTCTCTTCTATCTTTATGGAGAGGATTCTGGGTTGGGAAAAGAATTTGTTTCTACTTCTATTTCCCCAACTTATGGTAAGAACCATGGACAAACCCTCCAAGTAGCATGTGGTTGTGACCAGTTTGGGACCCCAAAAAGGAATGAAGTAACTCACATGAGCAACTGAATTGACCATTTTTGTTTCATTAGCTCTATGAATAATTAACTCAAATAAATAATAGGTACATGTTAAATACTCAATAAATATCTATTGATTCATAGACATGCTATTTTAAGGGTGCCATTACTCCTATATTTGTTTGCTTTGTCTTATTTTACTTTAATTGAACAATCATCCTCTATAATGGCTCTACATTAATTGTGTATGTCTATGCTTAATGGAAGTCATAAACTAGTCAGGTCATAAACATTGACTAATACAAGTCCACAGAGGTGTTTGGTTTGCCTCCACTGTGTTTTAAAAGCATTTGAAGTTGAATGCCTTTACATTTACAATTCCTGCTTTAGAACATCATCAACCCCCTTATTGTCATCAAGATAATAGCTAATACTACATATGCCTGCTTTGTATCAGGTATTCCTAGTACTTCTCATCCAATAACTTAATTCTCACAACTACTCTTGGGCAGGTCATATTATAATCTCCCTTTTATGGATGAGTTGCTAAGGCACAGAGAAGTTAATTACCTAAAGTCATACCATTTTTGAAATGTGGGATAAAAATTTAAATCTAGGCATCTTGTTCCTGAGCCAATGACTTCAACAGTAATGCTGTAGTGCTACTTATGAACCAAACCCCTATGTTTATCACTCCACCTATGGAATGCATACTTTTTCTAATTGTTCCTGTTTTTTCTAAGTCAGATTTTATTCCTACCAAGGAAACTGGCATAGGGTTGTCTTTTGGTATGTTTATAGTTTATGGAACTACTAAAATAGATTAGATTTTGAATGCTTAGACTATTAATTCTTCTCTTCCGGGCCTGTACTTCTTTCAGCCTGAAAGTGAGAAAGGAAGGAAGTTAGAGAAGCTCATGAATAACTGTCTTGTGCTTTGATGTCTTGCTGCCCACATAAAAAATTCATATTCAACATTTGGGTTCCTACACTAGTTTAGATCAACAGAATGATCACCTGTCCCTTGTGGTTAAAGAGATCTGTTATTTTAAAGAGTGAAATAATAAACCTCCATTGCATGATACTGTCTCTCCCTGATATTCCCTTTACCAAAATACTCAGGGAGATCCTAAACTCCCAGTGTGAGGGATAGAGATAGAGATTAAATCCAGTGGTCACTAGGGGCTGAGGGTTAACATCCATGCTTCTAGGGGAAGAATGAAGAGATAAGGATGTGAAGAGGAATGTTGCAGCTGTTGCAGCTGACACCATGGCTGTAAGCCAGAACACACCAAGAACTATTACTACCATGAAAGGGGCACTAAAAAAATTCTAACAAAGCAGGCAAGGAAATAATGAGCTTCTCTCTGGGAAAGAAAAAGACACACTCTGGTGGGAAATTGAAAGCCCAGCCCTGTACCTCACACGGATCTAGAGGCCAAATGTACAGTTCCTCAGAGGTACAGAAAATTCTAAACTGAAAAATTAAGGTAAAACTGATGCTATCCCTGGGGTGCTTGGCAGAGCAAATGAAGGGCCATTCTGGAGAGAAGCTTCCAAAATGCAGGCCACAAGGCGTTTTCACAGAAGAAAGCAAGTCACACTAAAGATGGGCTCACATTTAATAAGTATAAAGCTCATGGGAAAACGACTCCCCCAACACATGAGTCCTCAGGCTAAAGAAACATTAGCACGATAAATAAAAATAAATTAACACCTAGAAACATCATAGTAAAACCCCAGAATGCCTAAAACCAAGGAAAAACCTTAAAGTTTAAAACTCGCTAGTATTTTTAAAGTATACATTCTTGCCATTACTTGTATGACTTTTCACATTTAACACAATATAAACATTAACTCTTTAGAGTCAATATCACTATAAAAAATTAGTATTCTTAGTACTTGGAGATATCTCTTTGAAATGTAAACATCAAAAGATAGCACCCCTATCTTCACATTTCTGGGAAGACATTTTGAAATCTGATTTCTTTGATGGAAATTTTAAAAATGCCTTCTTTAAAAAAAATTGGAGACCAGGCGCAGTGGCTCACGCCTGTAATCCCAGCACTTTGGGAGGCTGAGGTGGGTGGATCACTAGGTCAGGAGTTCGAGACCAGCATAACCAACGTAGTGAAACCCTGTCTCTACTTAAAATACAAAAAAAAAAAAAAATTAGCCGGGCATGGTGGTGCATGCCTGTAATCTCACCTACTCAGGAAGCTGAGGCAGGAGAATCTCTTGAACCCGGGAGGTAGAGGCTGCAGTGAGCTAAGATCACGCCACTGCACTCCAGCCTGGGCGACAAAGCCAGACTCTAAAAAAAAATAATTGGAGTACTACTCCCTCTGATATCCTTACCCATCCTGGAACTAATACAAGATGAACTTGAAGCTATTTCATTGTAACTTAGAAATTTCTGACTCAAGTCAAAGTGGGTGGCCCTTTGTCCTATTCTCTGACAAAGTTCCCAGATGAAGTTGACCTTTAATGTAATTTATAATGTAATTCTTTTACTAAAATTTCTCAGATTAGGCACTAAAATTTGCCTTTCTAACAAATATTTATATAAAAATCCATGCTGTATTTATCTTTATAAGTCACCTAATTTGTACTAGGGTCATGCTTACCATGTATGTATCTGTGCTGGATGCATTAGACCTGCCATTCAGGGTAGAGGACAGGGCTAAGGATAGGTTGTTAGGAGTTAAAATCAACATAGAAACAACACTCAAAATCAAGACTATAAGGAAGTTCTCTGAAGGGTTAGTATATAACAAAGGAAAACAGAGTCCTGAAGCATAGAAGAATGACTGAAATATAGGAGCAGTAGGAGAAATCTAATCCAAAGAGAAGGAGTCGTATTTCAAAGAGGAAAATGAGCATAAGATACTGAAATTTCCAAGAAAGTACAAAATAGTGTCAGAATAATGGAAAGGTAGGGCTATAGAATTCAGTCATTGGAAAAATAATAGAAGACATTCATTAAACAACAAAAATTAAGACATTTACAAACAAGAAAACAGTGAATGATAAGAAAATAGAGGCATTTAACAGAGGATTTAATAGAAATCATTTATTCGAGAAATTTAGCAGTAAATAGATAAAGATGATGACAGCTATGGAGAGAGTGGCAGAGTCACAAGAAGGTGACTAACAAATCAGCAGACCATATTTTTGAAAGAAGAGAGGCAAAATTGGGTCACTAAAAACTAATGACACTAATTCAGGAGGAAGGAAACCTCCTTGGGAGATTAAAATCCAAGACGGAGATACAGGGTTAACACTAAGGAGATGAGACAGCTCCTTACTAGGAAAATTCTCACAGATGTTGAGACATAATACAAGAAAAACACAGAAGCTCCTATGAGAGGGGCACCATCCCTGTCGCAGTTCATTCTCCTCTGTGGGGCAAGGAGAGAACCTTTGGAGGGCTGTGGGGAGTGAGTGAGACCTCACTGAAAAGAGACAACAGTCGGTGGGGTGGATCACAGCTGTATACCTCTGGTGGCCCCTGGCAGCCCTCTAGATAATTTTTATAAAAACGAGAATAAAAAATAATAACAGCTAGAGGGAATGATTCCAGTCCTTTAAATTGGCTAACAGGATGAGATTCTAAAATTAGCAACTAAAAATAAGGCCCTTTTATTATTTACAAAGCCAAAAAGCCTACGTAAGAGAAAACTTAGCAGAAACTACTTCCATTCCACAAATAAAACAAATAAACTGACCCAAGGGAAAAATTCTATAAAAAAATTATATAGCATGTCAGTAAGTGTAATATTTCTTTTTACATATTCTTTGACAAGTGTCAGCATAAGTAGTTTCTCATTTACTTTTTCATAGAATGGAGACCCTCTGTTAAAATCATGTCTACAAAGTTCAGATGAAAATGAAAGGGTAAGGAAGAGGGAGCAGGAGCACATATGCACTGGTAGAAAAAAAAACTAATTCTGCAAGAACTACATGAGGCATATGAGAGAGGCATTTCTGACTTGTCCCTAGAAGGCCAGTGTCACACACTCCCAGTCCTGAAGGAGAGCAAAGCTTGACAGTTTGTTAGCACTAAACGGAGATTCAGTTGCAAGAGTTGGTAGATAGAATATGCAAAGGGATGTCAATCAATAAAATGATGATTTCTGTGGGATAAATGTGGTGAGGTTTGTTGTTGCTGTTATATCCAACATGACCATATCGTAGATTTTAAAATAAGGTACATCAAACCTTATCTCTCTTTTTCTTCTTTTATTTCAAAGGCAGTCTAAACTTTCCCACAAGCTGATTTATTGATGAGCCATTGACTGTGAATGCCAAGAGTCTTCTACCATTTTGGAAGAGCTCTATGACTGATACCTAAACAATAATGTTTTGTGCCAGGGTGTCTATAAGTTTATTTGTTTGATATGTTTTATTTCTGTTGTTTTGAAATACAAATACAGGATTTTTGAGAAATAGTTATCTGAGAAAAACAAAAAAAACTTGGGTTGCTATCTAAGGGTAGTGACGTTTATTTTGTCCAGATTTTGCCAGCTTAAAATTAAATGTTTTGTATTGACATTCACCGGTGAAAAATCAAGATGGAGCAACAGTTCATCCATCGAGATTAAGAAATAAAATGCAATTTAATAAGATTCCCATATATTCAATCATCTGCTTTCAGCTCTATTTGGTATTATTTTTGAAAAGTCTGCTATGCTTGTTAGCAAAGCATAAAACAGATTCAACAATGCTAGAGACTGTTTTTATAATATTTCCATTATTTATTTTTTTATTTACTTATTGGACTTTTTAATTTATTTTAAGTTCTCGGATTATTCATTGGATTTCTGTAACTGTGCTCATTCCTGAGTCGTGGGGTACATGCATGCACACCCACACACAGTTTTTAGCAAAATATTTAAACAGCAAATAACTGTATCAAGAGAAATAGCAAAGAGAAAAATCAAGAAAATAAAAAAGTACATCTTGTATTATCTTTCCATCCAGCTAGGCTCTCTAGAAAAAGGAGGATTTCAGGTTCAACTATAACTTCGTGGATATGGTCTTAGAATTCAATTATCGTAAAGAAAAGATCATCTCTAGAAGATATAAACTAGACTCAAGAGTTCCCGCTTCTAAGAAATTTGTCTAAACTATACCGTAACAACTAAACTTCACGACTTTGAGACCTACCAAGGGTCATCTTCTATGGAGAATTTTCTTTGGGTTTAATTATTATTGGCATTTTATTTTAATTTCTATAATTCATTAAGATACTAATTTTGTCTTAGTTATACTGTTTTTACTGGTCTAGAAAGTCTAGGAAATATTAAAAGATAATTTTTCATATTCCTCCCTGTGTAGGCAGGCCCTAAGACCACTTCAAGTTTTGGTGCCTGACTAGGAAACCTCAGAGGACTCAGCATAGAGTTGTATTCCAAACAAAAGCAAGGTACAAATTTTCAAGGGTCCTTACCCAGTGGAATCATACAGAATACATTTAATTCCTCCAGCACTGAATTGTGACAACACATATAAAATGTTATCTACCAAGGAAGTTCATTAGGGACTCAGTGCCCAAAGTTTTACTGGGAACTGGTTTCACCTTCTGCCTCTGCCAAAATCCCAGACTCTCAGAAGAAGTAAAGCAAGTGCCCAGAGTAAACCATACTGTTTGCACAAACACATTAGGCACAGTAAGCCACTTTCATTAGTTAGAAAAAGTGAACACTCCAAAAATCCAACTTCCTAAACACCAGCCAAGTGCCAACTTTGCAAGAAGGCCCTTCTAAGAATGGCAGATGCAAGACTGCTACGATAATTCTCTTGTGCACATCCCCTTAGAGATAGGATGGCCAAACTTTTGTGTCCAAATCTAGAGCCCTGAAGAAAATCTCAAGCTCCTGGGGGAGTGTAGATTCATAGAAGGGTATTAAGCTAGATTTTCTGTGAGAAGCAACGGATAAAGAAGAACATGACCTGATCCCTTGTGTGGCTTCTCTGAGATGGAAAAAGAAGATAAGAATAGCCTTTTAGCAAGCGGCAGGGACCAATGCTCTCCTCTAACACAGCAGGTTTGAGTGGGGGTAGGCTGTCTGTCAGGGGAGGGTGATATATGTGGATGTCATGGGATCAAAACAGTAAGGGTCAGAACTTTGAAAACCAAATCAAAAGAGCCTTGATTATATGCTTGGCAAAAAAGAGGAGTAGAAGAAATACTTCATTCTATTGTAGGCTTGAAACTTGAAGACTTCAGTGGCAGCCTTGATATCCCGAAGACCCAAGTCCAAGTTTTCAGAACTATATTATTCCTTTGGGATTCTTAAATGACTCCCAGGAACAAGAATCTTCCCCCTTTGTACTGCTGCCAACTCCACCAAAAATTTGAAAATAAAAAATAATTGAATGTGGCATCTAAACAGATTTAACTTTTTATATATTTTTAAAATATTTTACAATGTGTGATTCTCTTTGAATCCCACTGTTGTGGAGCATACCCATTCTTGTTAAACCTTTAATTTCATGGAAATCTTATGAGTAGGTACTGTAAACTTATTTTATTGATGAAAAACCTAAGGCTTAAAAAGATTAAGCAACTTGCTGGAGGTCATAGAACTAGGTATTCACATATTCAGAGTTCACCTCCACTTTTTTCCTACCTTAAAAACTATTCATGTGGCAACTGTACTATACCATACTTTTTAAGCACACACTCTAAGATAATTTAGAAAAACTTAGTATGCCCTCACACATTTTTACAAAGACATCTAAAATTTTTCATTTAAAAAACTGAGTAATTATAAAAGATGTTATGTTCTGTGTATTATAAGTATTGACACTTCACATATATAATTGCATTATTCTTTAAAAACATCCAATATAATCTAAATGCCATAGCAATTTAATAATCACCATCTATTTGAAGAATAAATGAACAACTACATGTTTTTACAATTGGAAGGTTTGCATCATTCTTCTTTATTTTTGACTTGATTTTCCATTCAACATCACCAGCAAATTTTTAGCGAAATGTAAAAATTATATAGTTAAACATCTTTCATGGATCACTCTATCCATCTCTACTATATAAATTTAAGATTCTAAATGTTTTAAAAATACTTCTTGATTATGGTTATTAATTGTTCACATGTCCATTGGTAAATATTACTTATTCCTAGACTGAAACAGAGCTAAACATCAATACTATATCTAGTTTTCATTTGTATAGATACAGGACTGGGAAAATTTGTTCATCTAAATAAATACTATGGATGGGGTAGGATGGTGTTTTGTTATAACCATGTCATACAATTATTTGAATTTTTGAATAATCTGCCAACATCACTTGATTATATTCAACCACACCTTATTCTTAATCCCCTCTCAGTGAACAACTCCTTTGGGTCCTGCTCCAGTGATGTTTAAAGCAATGAACTGGGAACCACCTGACTTGCCAAAGGATTTGGTTCTCAGGCATTACCATTACTCACTTTCTCAACATCAATAGGATGATTTCAAATTGTCCCTTTGTTTGGCAATCTAGTGGTCTTTGCATCCAGGCCAATGCAACATTATAGAATTGCAGTGGGTGAGAGGTTTTCCTTTCTCTAAAGTGAAGGAAAAGGCTATCAAGAAAGGTACAGAAGATCAGAGACTATGCTTTAAGCCTCCCCCTACCCATGTGCCTTGACTACATTTTTACCAGTCTAGCGCAGCTCAACTGAAAGAAAAAATACAAATGAGCATTGAGAAATTGCAACTGAATTGCCTTAAAATAATCTTAGTGTCCAAGTGCCCTCATGGAAATTTTTCACAAACCTCTGGGAATACAAGTACTCTGGTTTGAAGAAATATCCTACCTATATTCTGCCTCTATTCTAGCTCTTAACATATCAATTATGGCTATTAGTCTAATTGTTTTTCCTCCTCCTTGACTGTAAAATACTTCAGGCAGGAGCTGCATCTTCTTTAGCTATGTCTTCCAGTATCTAGCATGGTGTTTGATATATAGTACATGCTAATTAAGTATGTTTCATGAATAAATGACTGCCTCTGCAAAGTAAACAAAATTTAGTTGAATGTCATATATTAGTGAGTTAAAACAGACAAAAACAGTATTTTAGTATGATCCCACTGTGATCAAAAGAAGCATATGCAAATATGTGTACAGCTGTACATAAACATATATATATAAATATATATATATAAATATATATATATATATATATATATATATATATATATATATATATAAAACATATCAGTAGATATTACTAGGTAGATACATTTTTTGGCCACTTTCTTTTTGGCAATCTCATTTATCTACAATCAACTTAAGCATGTTTTATAACACTTCATAAAGTATACAAACAAAGAAATAAGTAGAAGAGACAGGACTTCCATTTAGTGAATATCCCAGAACTGCTGAATGCTGCCCTCAGCTCAAACAAGGGAAGCTCTTGGTTATTAAAGAATATGATGTCCTGCCTTCCTGATTCTCAGATAAGCCACCATGAGCATGACAGGGATCTGGGCAATTCATGCAATGACACCTCACACAAAAATACCCAGAAACTCTGTCACTCTTTTTACCCATGCTCAAAGAATAGTTCTTTTAAAGAATAACTGCCTTATTGGTTTGAAACTGAGGAACTTCATATTTCTCAACTAACAAATCCAGGATCCCTATGTGTAAATTGTCTACAACCATGTGGCTATGAGAAGGAAAACACTTTAAGTTGGAAATGCTCCCATCAGATTGTTCAGGAAGAAAAATCAAGCTATCCCTGCATGCACCATGACCAAACATTGTCAACTTCACATTATTTTGTTCTTTTCAATAAAGTAAATTTGTTAAACCTATCACCAAACATTATTTAATGTTGATGACTTTGTAAGATTTTTTATAGAAATAAATTCACAAATAAAAAATAATGATTCAATTATAGTTACATATATGAAGTATTACTTAATAACAATATTTTTCTCACTTCCAACTATTTCTAAATTTACATTATTTTAGACACTTGGGAAATTAGCAGCCAAATATATTCTAACACAGCTCAGAACTGATTGGATTTTTGTTGCTGCTATTGTTTTAGATTTTCCAATTTAAGCAGATAGAGTCATCCCAAGAAACATGCAAAACTTTAAAAATCTTTTAAACCATTTAAAAACCACAATAATTACATATCTGGGAACATGTCTTTTTTCACCACTGTAGAATCTAAGTTTCTAAAATAAAGAAACTAGGCTATATGGATCCGTCACACTGTAACAACACCATAAAATTGACTAAACAGGAAAATTAACTAAAAATGATAATGCATTATAACTTCCAGGTAAGAGATAATATGACTGCACCTCCTGAATCCCTCAATCCTAATTACTCATAAAGTGAGAAACAGAATTTAAAAATTGGAAAATCAAGCATAAGGAATGGAAGCCACAGAAGGATGACACCTACACGTCAAAAATTTCTGGGCTTTCAACCCATATTTCTATGAGATGTATCACAGATAGGAATATGGAATAAAGGGATAAATAATGTCTTCTCAAATATACTTGTGAAGAAAGACTGAAAAGCCAAGAGAGTGGCAGGAGTATCCCACTACTGCCCCACAATGAGAGAGAAAGCTGGTGAACTGAATGAAGCGACAACACTTGTCAGAAGCTGTGGAAGATTTTCTTGGCTTCAGGACTAATCTGAGAAGGGTGTCTAAACCACATAATCTTCTGGCATATACTTCACTATATGTTCCTAACTACTGGTTGCCACACAAAATATGGAGAGAAACTCTTCTAAAGAAAGAAAAGGATCTTTACTGCAACTATTTCTTACTACATTGACTCCAGTGTCTCATCTCCCTTCATCACACCACCCCTACACACATTTTGGCTTCTGGACTTCTGACCTGGAAAAGTAATGGACAGTTAACATGAAATTTTACCTTTATTTTCCATCAAGGCATTACGTATTCAGAAATGGACAGGGATGTCTTACCAAACTCACTTTATCTGCCAATGTAGACAAAAGTAAACCTCCTTCTGTAAGGATAAGTAAAGAATCTTAGGGGGGAGGAGCCAAGATGGCCGAATAGGAACAGCTCCGGTATACAGCTATACAGCTCCCAGCGTGGGCGACGCAGAAGACGGGTGATTTCTGCATTTCCATATGAGGTACCGGGTTCATCTCACTAGGGAGTGCCAGATAGTGGGTGCAGGACAGTGGGTGCAGCGCACCATGCGCAAGCCAAAGCAGGGTGAAGAACTGCCTCACTCGGGAAGCTCAAGGGGTCAGGGAGTTCCCTTTCCTAGTCAAACAAAGGGGTGACGGTTGTCACCTGGAAAATCAGGCCACTCCCACCCGAATACTGCGCTTTTCCGACGGGCTTAAAAAACGTCGCACCACGAGATTATATCCGGCACCTGGCTCGGAGGGTCCTCCGCCCACGGAGTCTCGCTGATTGCTAGCACAGCAGTCTGAGATCAAACTGCAAGGCAGCAGTGAGGCTGGGGGAGGGGCGCCCGCCATTGCCCAGGCTTGCTTAGGTAAACAAAGCAGCAGGGAAGCTCTAACTGGGTGGAGCCCACCACAGCTCAAGGAGGCCTGCCTGCCTCTGTAGGCTCCACATCTGGGGGCAGGGCACAGACAAATAAAAAGAAAGCAGTAACCTCTGCAGACTTAAATGTCCCTGTCTGACAGCTTTGAAGAGAGCAGTGGTTCTCCCAGTAGCAGCTGGAGATCTGAGAAGGGGCAGACTGCCTCCTCAAGTGGTTGCCTGACCCCTGACCCCCAAGCAGCCTAACTGGGAGGCACCCCCCAAGAGGGGCACACTGACACCTCACACGGCAGGGTACTCCAACAGACCTGCAGCTGAGGGTCCTGTCTGTTAGAAGGAAAACTAACAAACCGAAAGGACATCCACACCAAAAACCCATTTGTACATCACCATCATCAAAGATCAAAAGTAGATAAAACCACAAAGATGGGGAAAAAACAGAACAGAAGAACTGGAAACTCTAAAAAGCAGAGCACCTCTCCTCCTCCAAAGGAACGCAGCTCCTCACCAGTAATGGAACAAAGCTGGACGGAGAATGACTTTGATGAGCTGTGAGAAGAAGGCTTCAGACGATCAAATTACTCTGAGCTACAGGAGGACATTCAAACCAAAGGCAAAGAAGTTGAAAACTTTGAAAAAAATTTAGAAGAATGTATAACTAGAATAACCAATACAGAGAAGTGCTTAAAGGAGCTGATGGAGCTGAAAACCAAGGCTCAAGAACTACGTGAAGAATGCAGAAGCCTCAGGAGCCGATGCGATCAACTGGAAGAAAGGGTATCAGCCATGGAAGATGAAATGAATGAAATGAAGCGAGAAGGGAAGTTTAGAGAAAAAAGAATAAAAAGAAATGAGCAAAGCCTCCAAGAAATATGGGACTATGTGAAAAGACCAAATCTACGTCTGATTGGTGTACCTGAAAGTGATGGGGAGAATGGAACCAAGTTGGAAAACACTCTGCAGGATATTATCCAGGAGAACTTCCCCAATCTAGCAAGGCAGGCCAACGTTCAGATTCAGGAAATACAGAGAACGCCACAAAGATACTGCTTGAGAAGACCAACTCCAAGACACATAATTGTCAGATTCACCAAAGTTGAAATGAAGGAAAAAATGTTAAGGGCAGCCAGAGAGAAAGGTCGGGTTACCTCAAAGGGAAGCCCATCAGACTAACAGCTGATCTCTCGGCAGAAACCCTACAAGCCAGAAGAGAGTGGGGGCCAATATTCAACATTCTTAAAGAAAAGAATTTTCAACCCAGAATTTCATATCCAGCCAAACTAAGCTTCATAAGTGAAGGAGAAATAAAATACTTTACAGACAAGCAAATGCTGAGAGATTTTGTCACCACTAGGCCTGCCCTAAAAGAGCTCCTGAAGGAAGCGCTAAACATGGAAAGGAACAACCGGTACCAGCCGCTGCAAAATCATGCCAAAATGTAAAGACCATCGAGACTAGGAAGAAACTGCATCAACTAACGAGCAAAATCACCAGCTAACATCATAATGACAGGATCAAATTCACACATAACAATATTAACTTTAAATGTAAATGGACTAAATGCTCCAATTAAAAGACACAGACTGGCAAATTGGATAAAGAGTCAAGACCCATCAGTGTGCTGTATTCAGGAAACCCATCTCACGGGCAGAGACGCACATAGGCTCAAAATAAAAGGATGGAGGAAAATCTACCAAGCAAATGGAAAACAAAAAAAGGCAGGAGTTGCAATCCTAGTCTCTGATAAAACAGACTTTAAACCAACAAAGATCAAAAGAGACAAAGAAGGCCATTACATAATGGTAAAGGGACCAATTCAACAAGAAGAGCTAACTATCCTAAATATATATGCACCCAACACAGGAGCACCCAGATTCATAAAGCAAGTCCTGAGTGACCTACAAGGAGACTTAGACTCCCACACATTAATAATGGGAGACTTTAACACCCCACTGTCAACATTAGACAGATCAACGAGACAGAAAGTCAACAAGGATATCCAGGAATTGAACTCACCTCTGCACCAAGCGGACCTAATAGACATCTACAGAACTCACCACCCCAAATCAACAGAATATACATTTTTTTCAGCACCACACCACACCTATTCCAAAATTGACTACATACTTGGAAGTAAAGCTTTCCTCAGCAAATGTAAAAGAACAGAAATTATAACAAACTATCTCTCAGACCACAGTGCAATCAAACTACAACTCAGGATTAAGAATCTCACTCGAAACCACTCAACTACATGGAAACTGAACAGCCTGCTCCTGAATGACTACTGAGTACATAACAAAATGAAGGCAGAAATAAAGATGTTCTTTGAAACCAACGAAAACAAAGACACAACATACCAGAATCTCTGGGATGCATTCAAAGCAGTGTGTAGAGGGAAATTTATAGCACTAAATGCCCACAAGAGAAAGCAGGAAAGATCCAAAATTGACACCCTAACATCACAATTAAAAGAACTAGAAAGGCAAGAGCAAACACATTCAAAAGCTAGCAGAAGGCAAGAAATAACTAAAATCAGAGCAGAACTGAAGGAAATAGAGACACAAAAAACCCTTCAAAAAATTAATGAATCCAGGAGCTGGTTTTTTGAAAGGATCAACAAAATAGATAGACTGTTAGCAAGACTAATAAAGAAAAAAAGAGAAGAATCAAATAGAGGCAATAAAAAAATGATAAAGGGGATATCACCACCGATCCCACAGAAATACAAACTACCATCAGAGAATACTACAAACACCTCTACGCAAATAAACTAGAAAATCTAGAAGAAATGAATAAATTCCTTGACACATACACTCTCCCAAGACTAAACCAGGAAGAAGTTGAATCTCTGAATAGACCAATAACAGGAGCTGAAATTGTGGCAATAATCAATAGCTTACCAACCAAAAAGAGCCCAGGACCACATGGATTCACAGCCAAATTCTACCAGAGGTACAAGGAGGAACTGGTACCATTCCTTCTGAAACTGTTCCAATCAATAGAAAAAGAGGGAATCCTCCCTAACTCATTTTATGAGGCCAGCATCATTCTGATACCAAAGCCGGGCAGAGACACAACCAAAAAAGAGAATTTTAGACCAATATCCTTGATGAACATTGATGCAAAAATCCTCAATAAAATACTGGCAAAATGAATCCAGCAGCACATCAAAAAGGTTATCCACCATGAACAAGTGGGCTTCATCTCTGGGATGCAAGGCTGGTTCAATATACACAAATCAATAAATGTAATCCAGCATATAAACAGAGCCAAAGACAAAAACCACATGATTATCTCAATAGATGCAGAAAAGGCCTTTGACAAAATTCAACAACCATTCATGCTAAAAACTCTCAATAAATTAGGTATTGATGGGACGTATCTCAAAATAATAAGAGCTATCTATGACAAACCCACAGCCAATATCATACTGAATGGGCAAAAACTGGAAGCATTCCCTTTGAAAACTGGCACAAGACAGGGATGCCCTCTCTCACCGCTCCTATTCAACATAGTGTTGGAAGTTCTGGCCAGGGCAATTAGGCAGGAGAAGGAAATAAAGGGTATTCAATTAGGAAAAGAGAAAGTCAAATTGTCCCTGTTTGCAGATGACATGATTGTATATCTAGAAATCCCCATTGTCTCAGCCCAAAATCTCCTTAAGCTGATAAGCAACTTTAGCAAAGTCTCAGGATACAAAATCAATGTACAAAAATCACAAGCATTCTTTTTTTTTTTTTTTTTTGAGATGGAGTCTCGCTCTGTCGCCCAGGCTGGAGTGCAGTGGCGCGGTCTCGGCTCACTGCAAGCTCCGCCTCCCGGGTTCACGCCATTCTCCTGCCTCAGCCTCCCGCGTAGCTGGGACTACAGGCGCCCGCCACCACGCCCGGCTAATTTTTTTGTGTGCTTTTTAGTAGAGACGGGGTTTCACTGTGTTAGCCAGGATGGTCTCGATCTCGTGACCTCGTGATCCACCCGCCTCAGCCTCCCAAAGTGCTGGGATTACAAGCGTGAGCCACCGTGCCCGGCCAAATCACAAGCATTCTTATACACCAACAACAGACAAACAGAGAGCCAAATCATGAGTGAACTCCCATTCACAATTGCTTCAAAGAGAATAAAATACCTAGGAATCCAACTTACAAGGGATGTGAAGGACCTCTTCAAGGAGAACTACAAACCACTGCTCAAGGAAATAAAAGAGGATACAAACAAATGGAAGAACATTCCATGCTCATGGGTAGGAAGAATCAGTATCGTGAAAATGGCCATACTGCCCAAGGTAATTTACAGATTCAATGCCATCCCTATCAAGCTATCAATGCCTTTCTTCACAGAATTGGAAAAAACTACTTTAAAGTTCATATGGAACCAAAAAAGAGCCCACATCACCAAGTCAATCCTAAGCCAAAAGAACAAAGCTGGAGGCATCACACTACCTGACTTCAAACTATACTACAAGGCTACAGTAACCAAAACAGCATGGTACTGGTACCAAAACAGAGATATAGATCAATGGAACAGAACAGAGCCCTCAGAAATCACACCGCATATCTACAACTATCTGATCTTTGACAAACCTGAGAAAAACAAGCAATGGGGAAAGGATTCCCTATTTAATAAATGGTGCTGGGAAAATTGGCTGGCCATATGTAGAAAGCTGAAACTGGATCCCTTCCTTACACCTTATACAAAAATCAATTCAAGATGGATTAAAGACTTACGTGTTAGACCTAAAACCATAAAAACCCTAGAAGAAAACCTAGGCATTACCATTCAGGACATAGGCATGGGCAAGGGCTTCATGTCTAAAACACCAAAAGCAATGGCAACAAAAGACAAAATTGACAAATGGGATCTAATTAAACTAAAGAGCTTCTGCACAGCAAAAGAAACTACCATCAGAGTGAACAGGCAACCTACAAAATGGGAGAAAATTTTTGCAACCTACTCATCTGACAAAGGGCTAATATCCAGAATCTACAATGAACTCATACAAATTTACAAGAAAAAAACAAACAACCCCATCAAAAAGTGGGCGAAGGACATGAACAGACACTTCTCAAAAGAAGACATTTATGCAGCCAAAAAACACATGAAAACATGCTCATCATCACTGGCCATCAGAGAAATGCAAATCAAAACCACAATGAGATACCATCTCACACCAGTTAGAATGGCAATCATTAAAAAGTCAGGAAACAACAGGTGCTGGAGAGGATGTGGAGAAACAGAAACACTTTTACACTGTTGGTGGGACTGTAAACTAGTTCAACCATTGTGGAAGTCAGTGTGGTGATTCCTCAGAGATCTAGAACTAGAAATACCATTTGACCCAGCCATCCCATTACTGGGTATATACCCAAAGGACTATAAATCATGCTGCTATAAAGACACATGCACACGTATGTTTATTGAGGCATTATTCACAATAGCAAAGACTTGGAACCAACCCAAATGTCTAACAATGATAGACTGGATTAAGAAAATGTGGCACATATACACCATGGAATACTATGCAGCCATAAAAAATGATGAGTTCATGTCCTTTGTAGGGACATGGATGAAATTGGAAATCATCATTCTCAGTAAACTATCGCAAGATCAAAAAACCAAACACTGCATATTCTCACTTATAGGTGGGAATTGAACAATGAGATCACATGGACACAGGAAGGGGAACATCACACTCTGGGGACTGTTGTGGGGTGGGGGGAGAGGGGAGGGATAGCATTGGGAGATACACCTAATGCTAGATGACAAGTTAGTGGGTGCAGCACACCAGCATGGCACATGTATACATATGTAACTAACCTGCACAATGTGCACATGTACCCTAAAACTTAAAGTATAATAATAAAAGAAAAAAAAACTTAAAAAAAGAAAAGAACCTTAAAATCACTAAGAATATGATGCAGTTTAAATGAAATTTCACTTGGCACAATCAGAAATAATGATTTCCTGGCTAAGAAATTTAGGAAACTACTAAATTAGTATCAATATTTTTTAAATATTTTAATTTGAGTTTTTGACAGGTATCAAAAGAATATTTTGTCCATGAAACTAGATCAGGTAGTCATAATAAAAATCTACATATATGTGAGGTCATGTAAAACTGCACATAAATGGAAAAATCTAATGGAAAATTTTAAATTGTATGAAAGCAATTTAAGAAAATGAAAGAAAATATAGAACTGGCTATTATAAAATAACCAATTAGTATAGTAGGAGACAAGTTCAAGGTTTTCTTTAAAGATTTAAAGAAAATCATAAGGGAATAAAATGATAAAAGGAAAAATACAGAAAATAATAAAAAGATCAAAGGTTTGTATAATTGGAAGTCCAGAAGAAAAAAAATGTAAACAAATGGGGTGGTAGTAATTACAAAAATAAGAGAAGAAATCTTCTCTGAGTTGATGACAAAATTGGGACAGATGAATGACTTACAATGTTTAAAAAAAGATGAGTAAAAATAATGATATATAAACATGTTCAATATTGTGTTAATTTTAAGAATAAATTTAAAATGTTTCAAATAAAAAATGAAAATGTTAAAAACAACATGCTATATAAAAGAAATAAAAAACAGACTGACCTTGCACTTTTCTTTTAAAAAAAAATCTAGAGAGCTGGCTACAATAAAATAATGTTTATAGTGTAGTAAAGGGAAAGATTGTAACCCACAAACTGTATACCTAAGAGTCAAATTTTTCACTCACGAAATGTGTTTTTTCACCTATGTTTGTGGAAAACGCTCACTTCCCCTTTATGAAAAGTAACTCATAGACTTACTACCCCAAGTTAAGGATAACTCAATATAAAAAATTTCAAAAATAAAAATGTCATAGTACAAGAGAAATAATTACTATTATGAAAATACAGCAATCATTTTGGAAAAAAATCTGTTGAAAATAATCTTTATCTAATATCTAAGAATCAGCCTTGCATCCCAGGGATTAAGCCAACTTGATCATGGTGGATAAGCTTTTCGATGTGCTGCTGGATTTGATTTGCCAGTATTTTATTGAGCGTTTTTGCATTGATGTTTGTCAGGGATATTGGCCTGAAGTTTTCTTTTTTTGTTGTTGTTTTGTCTCTGCCAGATTTTGGTATCAGGATGATGCTGGCCTCATAAAATGAGTTAAGGAGGAGTCCCTCTTTTCCTATTGTTCGGAATAGTTTCAGAAGGAATAGTAGCAGCTCCTCTTCGAACCTCTGGTAGAATTCGGCTGTGAATCCATCTGATCCTGGGCTTTTTTTGGTTGGTAGGCTATTAATTACTCCCTCAATTTCAGAACATGTTATTGGTCTATGCAGGGATTCAACTTCTTCCTGGTTTAGTCTTGGGAGGGTGTATGCGTCCAGGAATTTATCCCTTTCTTCTAGATTTTCTAGTTTATTTGCATAGAGGTGTTTATGGTATTCTCTGATGGTAGTTTGTATTTCTGTGGGATCAGTGGTGATATTCCCCTTATCACTTTTTATTGTGTCTATTGATTCATCTCTCTTTTCTTTTTTATTAGTCTTGCTAGCAGTCTTTTCTGTTAATCTTTTCATAAAACAAACTCCTGGATTCATTGATTTTTTTTAAGGGTTTTTCGTGTCTCTATCACCTTCAATTCTGCTCTGATTTTAGTTTTTTCTTGTCTTCTGATAGCTTTTGAATTTGTTTGCTCTTGCTTCTCTAGTTCTTTTAATTGTGATGTTAGGGTGTCAGTTTTAGATCTTTCCCACTTTCTCACGTGGGCATTTAGTGCTATAAATTTCCCTCTAAACACTGCCTTAGCTGTGTCCCAGAGATTCTGGTACATTGTGTCTTTGTTCTCATTGGTTTCAAAGAACTTACTTATTTCTGCCTTAATTTGTTATTTACCCAGTAGTCATTCAGGAGCAGGTTGTTCAGCTTCCATGTAGTTGTGCAGTTTTGAGTGAGTTTCTTAATCCTGAGTTCTAATTTGATTGCACTGTGGTCTGAGAGACTGTTTGTTGTGATTTCCGTTCTTCTGCATTTGCTGAGGAGTGTTTTACTTCCAATTATGTGGTAAATTTTAGAATAAGTGCAATGTGGTGCTGAGAAAAATATATATTCTGTTGATTTGGGGTAGAGAATTCTGTAGATGTCTATTAGGTCTGCTTGGTCCAGAGCTGAGTTCAAGTCCTGAATATCCTTGTTAATTTCCTCTCTCGTTGATCTGTCTAATATTGACAGTGGGGTGTTAAAGTCTCCCACTATTATTGTGTGGGAGTCTAAGTATCTTTGTAGGTCTCCAAGAACTTGCTTTATGAAACTGGGTGCTCCTGTATTGGGTGCATATATATTTAGGATAGTTAGCTCTTCTTGTTGCATTGATCTCTTTACCATTATGTAATGCCCTTTTTTGTCTTTTTTTATCTTTGTTGGTTTAAAGTCTCTTTTACCAGAGAAGAGGATTGCAACCCCTGCTTTTTTTTTCTTTCCATTTGCTTGGTAAATATTCCTCCATTCCTTTATTTTGAGCCTATATTTGTCTTTGCACTTGAGATGGGTCTCCTGAATACAGCACACTGATGGGTCTGGAATTTTATCAAATTTGCCAGTCCATGTCTTTTAATTGGGACATGTAACCCATTTACAGTTAAAGTTAATATTGTTATGTGTGAATTTGATCCTGTCATTATGATGCTAGCTAGTTATTTTGCACATTATTTGATGCAGTTTCTTCATAGTGTCGATGGTCTTTACATTTTGGTATGTTTTTGCAGTGGCTGGTACCAGTTTTTCCTTTTCATATTTAGTGCTTTTTTCAGGAGCTCTTGTAAGGCAGGCCTGGTGGTGACAAAAATCCCTCAGCATTTGCTTGTCTGCAAAGGATTTTATTTCTCCTTTGCTTATGCAGCTTAGTTTGGCTGGATATGAAATTCTGGTTGAAAATTCTTTTATTTAAGAATGTTGAATATTGGCCCCCACTCTCTTCTGGCTTGTATGGTTTCTGCAGAGAGATCCACTGTTAGTCTGATGGTCTTCCCTTTGTGGGTAACCCGACCTTTCTCTCTGGCTGCCCTTAACATTTTTTCCTTCATTTCAACCTTAGTGAATCTGATGATCACATCTCTTAGGGTTGCTCTTCTCGAGGAGTATCTTTGTGGTGTTCTCTGTATTTCCTGAAGTTGAATGTTGGCCTACCTTGCTAGGTTGGGGAAGTTCTCCTGGATAATATCCTGAAGAGTGTTTTCCAACTTGGTTCCATTATCCCTGTCACTTTCAGGAACACCAATCAAACGTAGATTCGGTCTTTTCACATAGTCCCATATTTCTTGGAGGCTTTGTTCTTTCCTTTTCATTATTTTTCTCTAATCTTGTCTTCAGGCTTTACTTCATTAAGTTGATCTTCAATCTCTGATATCCTTTCTTCCACTTGATTGATTCGGCTATTGATACTTGTGTATGCTTCATGAAGTTCTCGTGCTGTGTTTTTCAGCTCCATCAGGTCATTTATGTCCTTCTTGATACTGGTTATTCTAGTTAGCAGTTCCTGTAACCTTTTGTCAAGGTTCTTAGCTTCCTTGCATTGGATTAGAACATGCTCCTTTAGCTTGGAGGAGTTTGTTATTACCCACCTTCTGAAGCCTACTTCTGTCAATTCGTCAAACTCATTCTCCGTCCAGTTTTGTTCCCTTGCTGGCGAGGAATTGTGATCCTTTGGAGGAGAAGAGGCATTCTGGTTTTCGGAATTTTAGCATTTTTGTTCTGGTTTTTCCTCATCTTTGTGGATTTATCTACCTTTGATCTTTGATATTTTTGACCTTCAGATGGGGTTTTTGCATGGGTGTCCTTTTTGCTGATGTTGATGTTTTTGCTTTCTGTTTGTTAGTTTTCCTTCTAACAGTTAGTTTTCCTCTTCTGCAGGTCTGCTGGAGTTTGCTAGAGGTCCACTCCAGACCCTGTTTGCCTGGGTATCACCAGCAGAGGCTGCAGAACAGCAAAGATTGCTGCCTGCTTCTTCCTCTGGAAGCTTCGTCCCAGAGGGGCACCTGCCAGATGCCAGCTGGAGCTCTCCTGTATGAGGTGTCGACTGACCCCTGCTGGGAGGTGTCTCCAAGTCAGGAGGGACAGGGGCCAGGGCCCCACTTGAGGAAACAGTCTGTCCCTTAGCAGAGCTTGAGCATTGTGCTGGGAGATCAACTGCTCTCTTCAGAGCCAGTCAGCAGGGACCTTTAAGCCTGCTGAAGCTGTGCCTACAGCCGTCCCTTCCCCCAGGTGCTCTGTCCCATGGAGATGGGGGTTTTATCTATAAGCCCCTGAGTGGGGCTGCTGCCTTTCTTTCAGACATGCCCTGCCCAGAGAGGAGGAATCTAGAGAGGCAGTCTGGCTACAGCAGCTTTGCAGAGCTGCAGTGGGATCTGCCCAGTTCGAACTTCCCGGCAGCTTTGTTTACACTGTGAGGGGAAAACCGCCTAGTCAAGCCTCAGTAATGGTGGATGCCCCTCCCACCACCAAGCTCGAGGATACCAGGTAGACTTCAGACTACTATGCTGGCAGCAAGAATTTCAAGCCAGTGGATCTTCACTTAATGGGCTTCCTGGGGGTGGGATCCACTCAGCAAGACCACTTGACTCCCTGGCTTCAGCCCCCTTTCCAGGGGAGTGAACAGTTCTGTCTCGTTGACATTCCAGGCGCCACTGGGGTACGAAAAAAAAACTCCTGCAGTTAGCTTGGTGTCTGCCCAAATAGCTGCCCAGTTTTGTGCTTAAAACCCAGGGCCCTGGTGGTGTAGGTGCCCAGGGGAATCTCCTAGTCTGCGGGTTGCAAAGACCATGGGAAAAGCATAGTATCTGGGCCAGATAACATGATCCCTCATGCACAGTACCTCCTGGCTTCCCTAGGCTAGAGGAGGGAGTTCCCTGACCCCTTGTGCTTCCTGGGTGAGGTGATGACCCACCCTGTTTTGGCTCACCCTCTGTGGACTGCACCCACTGTCTAACCAGTCCCAGTAAGATGAGCCAGGTACCTCAGTTGAAAATGCAGAAATCACCTACCTTCTGTGTTGGTCTTGCTGGGAGCTGCAGGACCAGAGCTGTTTCCATTCGACCATCTTGCTAGCTGCCCAGAGCATCTTTAAAATACTATTGAAATGCTCTTTTACCCTATAACTATAGGTGAAATTACATATGTGTATATTTGTAAATATTTTACATTTTTTGTATACAACCTATGAGCTCTAAGAATAAAATACTGTCTGAATAGCATGATTCATCTTTAAGGAAAAAGAAAAAGATCCCATAATTTTAGTCACACAAGATGGTACATAATAGGATTACGTCGTGCTATGAATCTAGTGAATGCAGTTTAGGATAAATTACAGAATTTCCTTTCTACACAAAGCAATTTTTTCCAAACAGAGCTTTTATTGATGTTCATACTATTATTATTTTTTGTTCATTTCATGGTAAATTCCCAGGTTATCTGAAGCAATAATAAACTAACTTCTCCTTTGATTCTTCTTAAGGCAATTTAAGAAAAAAAAATACAGTCTGGAAAATAAATGGAAAAGAGTGTCCTTCTGACTCTCTGAAGTAGTTTTTGTGTTATTCTTTCCCCTCTTCTCATTTTCCCAATCAAAGTAATGGCACCATCTTTCCACTAACCATCATCTCTTTAACAGCATCTCCTTTATTTCCATGAATGCAGTGAGCAGCAGTTATAGTGAGAATATCAGCAAACAACAGAAACATTATGCCTTTAACCCACCATGACCGAAATGGGGACTTAATGTTAAAATGTAATAAAGCTCAAATTGGAAGGCAGTCTTCTTCATGCCTACAGCCCCTCACCATCTCTGGACCCTGCTGGAATTTAAAACCAGCATCACAACACGGATGGGCCTGATTCTAATGTATGACATGCCAAACCTGTCCAAAGAGACTGAATATATAAGTCATGTGTACACTGCAATTAAAACCATTCCCTGTTGAGCAGGGAAAGAACTGGCTTTTTTTAAAGAGTCCTGTGGACATCCATAGTCCTGTGGACATCCATGGCAGGTGGGGTCCTGTGCCAGAGTCACCTTCTCAATATTGCAGGATCAGAAAGGTCAACTAGAGGGTCCATTGATGCTAGTCAATATATTAAACAGAGCACCTATATATGAACTTATAGCTAGGAACCTAACAGCCTAGTACATGTCTACTGATCAGCACCTTCTTTCTCCAACAAGAACATCTTCATAGGGAAACAATTACTGCAATGAGAATGTTCCTGGTGAACATACAATCAGAGCAAGGGGAACTAGATGGATTGGATACCACTGAGACAGAAGAATCATTAGTCAAATGAAAAAAGCAAAGAATCATTAGTCTACATTTCCATCTCTATTGCAGAGAAGCACCTGCCAAATCAACTAGTGGGTTAGCTCTTTCTGCTGGATCTCAGTTAAAGGAAAATTTAAGCATTTCTTGCCCATCGACCTCACCTATCCAGATTATACAGTTTCATGTCATTTTTTAACTGAATTATAATTTATAAACAATAAACCGCATTTGTCTTAAGTGTACCACTCCGTGAGTTGTGACAATTTTATAAGCCCATGTAATCTTTACTTCAATAAAGAGAATGATTCCATTACTCCAAAATTTCCATATGCTCTTTTGCACTCTATTGCCACTCTCACTCAGAGACAACCACTATTCTGATTTCTATTACTATAGGTTTATTTTGTTGGTCCTTGAACTTAACATATATAAAATCATATTTATGTCCTCTTTCTGTCGGACTTCTTTTAGCTTGACATAATATTTTTGAGAATCATTGGTTTATTGATTTTGTATTTCTTTCCTTTTTACTGCTGAATAACATTCTATATTATGAACAATACTACAATTTGTTTACATATTTGCCTGTTGATGAACAGCTACATTGCTGACAATTTTTGGTTAGTATGAGTAAAGTTGCTATTAATATTCTTGTATAAGTCTTTTGTAGGCATGTAGTTTTGTTTCTCTCTTGAGTAACTCTTAGGATGGAATTGCTGTGTTATAGGGTAGGTATTATATTTAACTTTATAAGCAGCTGTCAAATAGTTTCACAAAAGAGTTGTACAATTTTACATTCCCTCTAGTAGTATATGAGACTTCCAGTAGTTCTACAACTTGCCAATATTTGATATTATCCTCTTTTTTTTTAATTTACTTTAGCCACTCCAATGGGTATATAGTGGTGTCTTATTGTGGCTATATTTTGCATTTCTCTGGTGACCACTGATATAAACTCCCTTTTCATGTGCTTATTAGCCATACTTATCTCTTCTTTTAAGAAATATTGAAGCCTTTTGCTCATTTTTTATTGGGTTAGTTTTCTTTTCATCATTGAGTTGCAGCAATGGTCAGATATACATATTGTAGATATTTTCTCCCAGTCTGTGGTTTGCCTTTCATATTTTACTAATAGTTTTTTATTTCAATAAGAATAAGTATAATGTTTCCATTTCAATAAAGTCTAGTTTATGGCTAGTGCTCTTTTTGCCCTGTGTGTATCCTTTTATTTTTTTTTAACAACCTCATATCACAATACTGCCAGGTCATTAAAATATGATTGTTAATAGTTGCATAGTATTTCACCACAAAAATATATGGATTTGCTTATTTTTGTGGAGATATAAGTTGTTTCCAATTTTTCACAAATATAAATAACACTATTATGAATATTCCTTCACAGATGTCTCTGTTCATCATTGTTTTGAAGAGAATGTTACTATGGGGCATACTGAATCAAAAGGGAAATATTGTGAGACATATTGCTAAATTGATTTTACCAATTTGTACCCCCACCAGCAGAGCAAGTGCTTACTCTCAGTTTTAAGCGTATTTGCACATATTTATTGGCTTCTCACATTTCTTCTTTTATGAATCAACTTTGCCTCTCTTGAACATCTGGAGGGAGATTTATTAGATGTTAATCCTTTGGATTTTTATGCTGCAATTTTTTTCAGATTCATTATTAATATTGTCCAGCAGAATTTTAAGTCTTTGTGTATCCAGGGCTATCAGAATTTTCCTTTATGTTTTCTGCATTATATTCTGTCTTTACAAAAGTATTTCCCAGAACTAAATCAGGTATACTTATGGATATTAGTGCCAGAGTCTCCCACTACTGATGATCAATGGTGTCAACAAAGTAATGTAAAGACAGACAGAGAGATTAGATAGATAGATAGATAGATAGATAGATAGATAGATAAATAGATATAGATAGATAGATAGATAGATAGATAGATAGATAGATAGATAAATAGATAAATGAGAAAAAGAGATATCAGCAGAAAACAATATGTATCCACTGAGACGCTCTCCACTCACTTTACTGGGTAGCTCCGAGACATGCCTTAAGAACTCTCTGGCTTCCCAAATCAATGGGACCATGTTAGGTTCTCCCAGGAATCATCTTCCTGTACTCTCTGTGGATCCCTTGGCTGTACCAGGACTTTAGGGACTTCCGTAGCTCACCCACACCCTATGAATGGTTTGCTCAAGTTGTCTGTTCACTCAGCGAAAAGTGAGCAGAGACACAGAACTCCAGTAACGCTCTCCAATAAAATCTTCTCACTTAGAGTCTCCTTACTTCTCATGTACTCATGATGTGGTTGATGAACTAAAAATCACCAGATCTGTTTTTAGTATCAATTATTTGAAACTCTTCACAGATGATCTACACTCTTTAAAACATATGATCCTTGAATGCTTTTTGTCCTCAGCTTCGGAACCCAAATTATAATTATGAAACTCATGAAAAAAAATAGTATTTAGACTGCTACACCTAAATTAGCTTCTTAATAAAGATTTACCCCTTTCCTAAAGCCCTTGACCACCAATGCGTGAACGAAATGAGAGTCTAATAGCAGAAGGAAGTATGGGAAGGAGGTTGGGTAAGCAGCCAAGGGTGTCTGTCACAGTGACAGTGTGGTGCTTACTACTGCCTTTAAAAGAAAAGTTTCCCATAGTCAGGTTGAGGAATATGGAACTTCTGAGCCAAATTCTTAAGTGTATTTAGTAGCCAAATTCTTAATGATATATAATGTCCATTTTTTTTGTGCAGAGACATAAAAAGAAGTCTCCCATTCTACACATCTTCCTGTCTTTTTTGCCTTCTGCTTTTATTTTTCTTCAAATTCTTTAATACTCCACAGCTTAAGATGTAGGAGAAAAAGCAAAAGGGGAATGGAAAAAGAAGAAGCTTTTGACATCTCCTCAGTGCCTTTGAAACATTCATTTTTATCTATTAGAGATCATAAAAAGCAAGAAGCTAGTGTCTAAGTAGTATAGGCAGGTGTAAAATAACATGTCTCTCTGCTTTTTTCCTCAGCAAGCTGACCTCTACTAATGACACCACCTGGGTTCCCTTACCCTCTGGCTTCCTCATTGGTACTGGCAGGAGATGGAGGGTGGGAAAAGGGAGAGGTCAGGGAATTTACTGCTGCATCCCTCCCTGCTGAGTAGAAGTGTGGCAGTGGCTATATTTTTCTCTCAAGGGTAATTTGTCACTCTGGATCTCCTCTTGCAGCTACAATTCTCCCCATCTTCCAATAACTATCACTTCCTTCATTCCTTTAAGTTCAAGAGGAGCAATAGCTTCCTGCTTCACCATCCTTTGTCAGTTTCTTTAACCCTACCATTACCATTGAAAATTGCCCCTTTATTAAACCTTTTCTCTTTTTTTTCACTTACCCTTTTGAATTTTTCATCTGTTTTCTGATGAATACCTAACTGATACCTCAAGTTACAGGTTAAGAAGGTATGTATCTGAGGTCACAGTGGATAAAAGTTCTGAAACACAAGCCAAAAAATAAATCAAGTCACCAGGAATCTGACTGCCAAGATAAGAACCTGATTCTTCTTACCCAAGATCTGATTAAACAGCAAACCTCTTCTAAGACAAACCGAAGCCAACATTGGTATGGGAGAGAACAACAGTAAATTCTGACAGAAGACACATGTAGAAGAAATTGGTAACAAGATCAGAGATAAATTACAAGAAAAACTGAACTCCATTCATCTACAGACTACCACCTTATTCTTCTTTTCTCCAAGTCTTCCAGTCCCTATCCTCAAACTTTCTCTCATTCTCTAATTTCATCCATTCTTCTCAAGGCTTCAACCATTACCTCCAGGCAGAATATTGCAGTTAAATGTTTTCTCTACCCTAAACATTACTTGGTTATTTCCTGAGCACTCAAAATTAATTTATCCCAAACCTATTATATCTTCACCTTCTCACAGTAATTGACAACTCCCATTGACTTTCTTATTTCTAGCATCAGCTATCTCCCATTCCTCCACGCTCAACACCTCAGGCATTTTTTATTACCTTCTCCTACAATCCTCACACTAAATCTGTCACCAGATCTTCTGGAATCCAGATGTGAATCATTGTTTATATTCTCATGTGGTTTCAGTCTTCCTCTCCAGCCTCAGTTCCCACCTCTTCTCTTCATGGTCTTCATCCTATTCTTGGAATATAATCTAGGATTTGCCTCTCCATTATTTATTCTAATAGAAGAGCATTTTGCTAAGTAATTAGATCTGTTAAAAAAAAATGTAAGGCATAAATGTCAGTGTCACTTCCTTCACAGTCCTTCCTCTCTTTTCTTCCCCCAACCAAATGATCACCTCCCTCTCTGAACCTCTATAATATTTGACTTATACTGCTCTTATAGAACTTATGATGCATTATAATTATGTCGTACTTGATTATACAGCACTTTTTTCTGTGCTAGATTGAAAATTGCTTGAAAGCAGGAAAAGTTCTGTTTGTTTTATACTCTGCAGTACCTATCTTTAATAAATAATTTCTGAATTGGATTCTGTTGCATTGAGTTTTCTGACACACATGTCAAATTGTCTGGCAAAATTATTCCTTAGAAACAAAAATTATCAAAAATCCAAAGTTGTACCTTATTTGTCTTTCTATACCTTGGTATGAAATTTCATTTTTACTATTTAAAAAATAATCAAAGAAAACAAGAATAAATTCACAAACAATGTTTAATTTTGACATGTTAACCAAGTCAATCCCTTGTGACAAGGTTTTTGTCTATAGTTCCAGAGTGACAAGCTTTTGTCTATAGTTCAAGTTAATGGGACTTGGTAACAACATGTTTTTTCTCTCCATGACAAATTAAGTTATTCTGGACAAACATGCAGTATTTTACCAGCAAAATGAAGCCACTTGTGCCTGCATTACAATTTTATTGAATGGCATATAAATAAGCAGAGACTGAAAAACAAATGTTGTCTTGTGAGGATGTTTTCTGTTTTCACAAATACACCCACTCTTGCTAAGAACAAATAATTTGGACCTAAAAGTTTCTCCTCAAAAACTTTGAGAATCCTTTAGTTTGATCAATCCTCCTCATATTTTTCTAATTATTTAAGACCTTTGCATGAAAATATGTTCTTTGCTTTAGCTATTCATTCTCTTAATAACCATTAACCAGGTATTAGCATTATAATTTTCTGAATAGTTTTTTCTTTAGATTCTCCTATAAAGGCACCAATGCCTGGTTTATATTTTCCCTGAAGCCCTTACTCCCTTAAGGACCATTCTTCATCCTGATATTATTTGCAACCGTATGCCATCAGCCCTCTTAATTGCTTTTCAGCTTATTGGCCTATTTCCTCTATTGCCCATTCATCTGTTATCAGTTCCCAAGTTTCTCTGGGAGAGCTTCCCTTCCCCACTCCCTCAGTCCTTGTGGTCTGGATGGGTGGGGCCAATTCCATTCCAAGCTCAAAAATGGACAGAGCAGTCAGGTCATTGCATCCTCTGACTACACTGTTTAGCTCACAAAGGACTAATGAATCAATTTGGACTTACAAATATTAGTCCAGAAACTAATGCAAATTGTTAGAAAAGCAGCTCTCTTTCCATTAGGGTTGGGAAACAAGGCAAATACAGCTCAGAAGCTTCTGAGGAGAGCTCAGCTGAGGATGGAACCAACACAGGAAAACACAATCAAGAGGTGAAGAAAGAGACATTTCTGACACAATTATATGCTTGCCTTTAGAGATGCCTTCTCTGGATTTCAATTATGTAAGCCCATAATTTGTTTTAATTAAGCCAATTTGTAAGTCAGCAGATTTTCTTTTTAATTAAGTCAGTTTGAATTGATTTTCTGTCACTTGCAAATAGAAATATTGGTATCTGGTATGCCACAGAGCACTCCACACTCTTCAATTGCCTTCCTCTCCGATCTAAGGCCAGTGTTAACCTGGCCTCCTCCCCATCTGAAGCTGACAAAATCATGTCTCTTTACATGATCCAATATATAACCTTCATTCACAAACTCAGGAAGCCCATCTGAGCTTTATTCTAATTATCCTCTACTTCTCTCTACATACCAGTGCTCTGTGCAATGTCATTTTTTTAATGTGGATTGCCTGATTCATCTCTGAATGTGTTTTAATTCTTTCTGCTTAAAATTATTATAAACAGTCAGAAACACAAGAAAACATGGAAATAATTCACAGGAAGCATATAAATTAATAAGATCACTGATGAAGGCTTTGAGATACCTGCTCAAAACAATGGCGATTATAAAGTAGACAGAGCAAGTAGCTAGCGCAGGTTGAGGAGCATTTAGAAGGGCCCCACCTCACTCTGAAACTGTATTACCTTGCTGTTTATTCTTTTTTCTGTGGAACCACAGGAAGTATTAACCATTAATAATCCTACTATTTAAGTTAAAAAAAAGTGAGCTGAGTACTGACACATTGATCATGTTTTGTACACTAAAAATCCAGATACATTCATGATAATCATAAGCATATTCATAAAATAGATAAGAAGGTTAAGAAGATAAAACAGAAAATAAGAAATGAAAACATGAGTATTCAAGAAAATCTGCTATACATGGATTCCAAAGGATACCACCATTCAGCTCCATATTGCACATAAATAAAATTTTCAATATGTATGACTGATATACCTTTAGAAGATCTGAATTTTTCTAGTTGAAATTATAAAATACTAGAATAGGACTTGAAATAAATTACTCTGCCTTGCCAAAAGCAAAAAAACAATTGAGAAATATAAATTTCCCAAGCTTCCTTTTCTTTATCAAGCCTATTGACAAGAGACTTTATATTATTTCTGACTTTCATCTCACTATTCAGAAAAGATAATCGAAGCAACCTTAATAATAGATCAGTCTCATTAATAAAACCTCTGCTCTACTCCAATTTACATGAGCTTCATTATGAAAAGTAATTGGGCACACTGAATTTACTGTGGGAGTCAGCTAATGCTGAATACAAAACCACAGGGAAATTTAGGAGGAAGGCTAGATGCAAGGTCAAGTATGTTGTAAGAAAGCTGAGTAGTCCTCAGAAGAAAAAGAAAATTGGGTATACAGAAAGGCCCTCAACCTAAAATTAAGCTTTAAATTTTGAATAAATAAATGCCTTACTGGACAGAAAAGTCTAGTCCCCCAAACCAAATGAGCAAAAGAAGATGATTTTGTGACAGTGGCATTGACTTGACATCAATGCCATAATAATTAAAAACAGGTTAATGGCTAATTTTACTATCCCTCCTCTTGTATCTCCCATGTTCCAATTATGCAGTTAAGGTAGCTGTCAGAGCTAGGACTGCTGACAAGAGTTCCAGTTGCATCTCTGTTACACAGTTAACTTTAAAAGCTTTTAATTTCACATGCAATGCCAAACAAACTTTTAAGTGAATGAGATCACTGATGCTCTATTCCAATACAATATTCCTAGTTCAAAATGCATATGGGAAGACATTTGGCTACAAATTTTTAAATAGCAAGTGCTAAGGTTATAAGATAACATTAGTATTCCTTCTTTCCCGATCATGTTATTGAAAAATGATAAGGAACAACAGTTAGAATTCACTCCAGTTAAGGGTGTATACGAATCAGAATAATGTGTACATTCCTTTACTTGGCATTTAGAAGTAAGTTTCAAAGACGTATGTTTTGCCCTCACTTGCAGACTGGAAATTGAAACACTGGTATATATCAGATATGCAAAACTGGTATATATCAGGGAAGATTCTGAAGTCATGTATTAAGAAGTAAGGCACTACATGTACATATTATGTGTATGTTTGTAAACACACACAGGCCACACACACACAGACAGAATATGCATGCCTGACCAAAAATAGCACTTTGTAGACGGATCTCTCCTCCAACAACATAAATTCTACCAAATCCTCTGTGTCTGTTCAAGTTCTACTTTCTCTGTTGTCTTCCCTAATAAATCCAGACCATGTCTATTCTTTTTCTCAAAAGCAATTTCTACTTCACCACCACCATCACACATTTATCAAGAAATACAGGACCTTATTCGTAAAGCCAATAGAATTTCCCTAAACCTGAAATAGTTTAAAGCTAGTTACAAAGACAAGATGCAGACGTAAAAAGTATAAACGGCAGCCTTGAAGTAACTGGATTATGGGGTGGGTGAAAACAGGAATGAAAAGGAAGATGGGATCACAGAGGCAGGGATAGCCAGAAGTGGAAAAGGTTTATGGAGGAGGAAGCGCTCAAGTTTGTCCTTGAGGAAGGGCCCTTCTCAAAGTTCCAGAGTGGAACGAAGAGCCCTGGCGGTAGGAACGAGATGTGGAGACAGATGGACCAATACAGGACAGTCAGGAAGGTGTAACGTGGGCTGCACCTAGCAGCCTCCCTTAAGGGAAGCTCACATGTTCTCTTCATCTGTGGATTCATCAGTTACTAAATGTGATATTACCTGTGCTTGATATAAACATCACTAACCAAAGACTAAAAATACAATAGCAGGCACTTCTAAAAAATTTCAGTAGCATTAGAAAGACAGAAAAAAAAGGATGCCAAACTCATGCCCACACTAACTGGAGTTCACTTATACTGCTTGTCTAAATTTGGGCAATGCACTCAATAGTTGCAAATGAGTCCAATTAACTCTCACATTCGAAGTGGGAGCCTTTCACGTATAAGCCATAACATAGACAGCAAAGGGGGAATAAAATTTCCTTAAAAGTTACAGTTGAACTTGAAATCTTCAGTGCATGAGTTGAACTAAACTAAAGCAACCTAAAAAACAAACAAGGTTAACTCCCAAGTGCTAGTTACTACCCTTGATGAAAACATGGATAAATTCACAATTTAGACCTTGTTAAGAGCAACTCTGCTAAAACCAAAGCTTCCATACAGACAACCCAGTGAGTCTCAATCTTGGTTGCATGGTAAACGCACTTGGAGAGCTTTTAGCACCCAGTCAGGACAGGTCCTTACCTGATCCATTAAACCAGAATCTTCAGGTATGGAGCTCAGGCAGGGTGATTCTCACAAGCAGCAGAGTTGAGAATCACTGATATCTCCCCTCTTACAACCATCAGTGGCCTTACCAGATTAGGAAGAGTTCATCAGTTTGTTCATCATCACTTTGTGGAAATGGAGTTGATCACAGCATAGCATAGATAAGCTTTTTAACTTTTGTCCTAGTGAGCAATAATTGGCATAATTCACTAAGTAATTCACTAAGTAAAAGAACCAGTAAAAATTAAGTACTCATAGCTTTTAAGGAAAGTGGCAAAAGAAGGCAATTGAGCCAAGAAAAAGTAAAAGTAATGAAACATTTTTGGAAATAAAATATCTGGGCCAGGCACAGTGGCTCCCATTTGTAATCCCAGCACTTTGGGAGGCCAAGGAAGGCGGATCACCTGAGGTCAGGAGTTCCAGACCAGCCTGGCCAACATGGTGAAGCCCATCTCTACTAAAAATACAAAAATTAGCTGGGTATGGTGGTGCATGCCTGTGATTCCAGCTACTTGGGAGGCTGAGGCAGAAGAATCACTTGAACCCAAGAGGCGGAGGTTGTGGTGAGCCAAGATTAAGCCATTGCACTCAAGAGTGAAACTCCATCTCAAAAAAATAAATAAATAAGAAGAAAAGAAATAAAATGTCCTGAAATTTACAAGTGTGTCTAATGGTTCATATTAACTCATTCACTTAATGTTTAGGGTGATAGATATATTAACCATCTAACAACATAATACTGATTTTTAATTCTTACTAGAGGCCACTAACAGTACTAAACATATTTTATATTAAAATTATTTAATATTGTAATCTTATGAGAGAACATACCCCATCTTAAAGATGAAGAAATAAGGTTCATAATGATTACATGATTTTTGCCTAATATAACCTGGCTAGTAACCAATTTTCTAACTTCTAACTGCCTCAAGAGCAATTCAGTTCAGTTATCATAAACCACTGTTATCCAAGGCTTAGACTACAGTCCTGACAAAGATGTGTTGGGATTAGATACGAATTGTTATAAATGACTTTTGAATCTATTTACCCTTAATTCATGGCAAAACTTGCAGGACTTTTCATTTATAAGGAAATTCAGCCAGGGTGATTATAATTTCTGACTTATTGGGTGGGCATTTAAATATTCCTGCCAGTTTCAAACTCCCTTTCCTTTAGGTTGATTTCACTCAGGGACCCAGTTTGTCAAGAAGTTCCAATGTGTTTGGAATAAGAAAGACTGGCACTTGATTTTTGGTGCCAATTCTTTCCACAATAATAATCTTTCAAACATCGTTCATTTTCAAAATAGAGGGGTACTTATAACAAGCCAGACCTTCAACACAGATTTAAGGAAAAGGATCATACTGAAAAGCTTCATGTGATGGCTTCAATACTTTCTTGAAAGTGTGCATAGGCATTAACAAGGCTCTGTAAATGAGTGACTGCATTCTGTTTATAGAATGGAGAACTGAGGTACACACTCCAATCTAACTCATCCAAGAAGGGGCAAAGCAGAGAATAAAAACAACTCCCTATGAATAGCACTAGGCCCCCATCCCAAGAGTACTCTGCTATTTAATTTAAAGCCTGGCTCACTCTACTTTTCCATTCGAATGCCAAGAGAAAACAAGCTGAACGGTTCAAGCTTGAAGATGAGAATGGGGCTCCCATAAGAATGAAGGAAAAACCATTTCAACACTGAAGATAGGCCCCCTATAAACCCTAATGTGGTTTTCTCATTTGTTGCATGGCATATCGGTCTGCTCCTCTTAATTTATTCCAACTGTTTCTCCTGAAAAATACGAGGTTTGCAATTTGCTAAGGGCCTCAAAAAGCACAAAGAAATGGTAAATCATTGAATGATGATTACCAAGTCAAAGGAATGAATATTGCTTTTACTAGAAGACACAGGAATGGTTATTGGCCATTTGTCATGCTAGATAATAGATTATTTCTTTCTATGCACAAAAACTTGACAATTTCATGATTATATACTCCAAATGTATTGCATGCACAAGTATTAAAATATGAAGTGTATAATCTCAGGATATGTTGTTTTCTGAATATGATAATTTTAATTGGCATGAAATTTGCATTTCATATAACTTTGTCTGAATATGAGCATATTTGATAGGAATCCAATATCACTCATCATTTTTCTTTATTTTGTATTCACATCTTGATTTAAAAAAACAGAAATCTATAATGCTAAAATCGTAATTTTAAAATGTCTCTATCAGCTTGCTAATCTTTCAGACTGAAGTGTAGATAAGTACATTTTAGTAATATTGGTTTAAAACACAATTAAGGCTGAACTTTTATATATTTTTCCATTTAAATGTTCACACTTCCTTTATATGCTTATAGATTAATTCATTTCTACATTTTTTTTCCGACACAGGCTCTCATTCTGTCTCCTAGGCTGGAATGCAGTGATGCAATCACAGCTCACTGTAGCCTCAACCTCCCAGTCTCAAGCAATCCTCCCACCCCAACTTTCTGGGTAGCTGGGACTAAAAGTGTGTGACACCACACTCAGCTAATTTTTTGATTTTTCATAGAGATGAGGTATCACTATGTTACCCAGGCTGGTCCCAAACTACTGGACTCAAGTGATCTTCCCACCTCATCTTCCCTAAGTGTTGGGATCACAGGCATGAGCCACCATACCCACCCTCTACATCTTTTTAAAGCAAAGAGAGAGATAAAGAAAGAAAACCTCAGTGCTTAGAACAATGCCAACGTAGTGAAAAAAAAACTGAAATAATGAAAGGAAAAGGAAAAAATTTATGCACATATTTCAGGTTAATATCTTTTCCAAGAAAAATATTTTTTTAAAAAAGAGTGAACAACAGATTGCCTACTAGATGCATCTCCTCCATTAAAATGATTAAAGAACAAAACAGAGTATCTGAAGTGTCATGATAAAATAAAAGCTGTTCATACTCACATTACAGTCTGCCACAATTTTTTTTAAAGTCAGTTTTTTTTTTAATTTCCATAGGATTTTGGGGGAACAGGTGGTATTTGGTTACATGAGTAAGCTCTTTTATCAATATTTTATTTCCATAGGTTATTGGGGAATAGGTGGTGTTTGGTTACATGAATAAGTTCTTTAGCGGTGATTTGTGAGATTTAGGTGCAACCACCACCGAGCAGTATACATTGCACCCTACTTGTAGTCTTTTATGCCTAACCCCCTCCCATCTTTTCCCCAAGTCTCCAAAGTCCATTGTGTCATTCTTATGCCTTTGCGTCCTCATAGCTTAGCTTCCACTTATGAGTGAGACCATACAATGTTTAGCTTTCCACTCCTGAGTTACTTCACTTAGATTAAGTCTCCAATATAATCCAAGTTGCTGTGAATGCCATTAATTCATTCCTTTTATGGCTGAGTAGTATTCCATGATATATACATACCACAGTTTCTTTATCCACTCGTTGACTGATGGGCATTTGGGCTGGTTCCACATTTTTGCAATTGCAAATTGTGCTGCTATAAACATGTGTGTGCAAGTATGTTTTTTGTATAATGGCTTATTTTCCTCTGGGTACATACCCAGTAGTGAGATTGCTGAGTCAAATGGTAGTTCTACTTTTAGTTCTTCAAGGAATCTCCATACTGTTTTCCACAGTGTTTGTACTGTAGCAGGACGAGCCGCAGACAAAACCTCTCAGACACTGAATTGTAGAAGGAAGGGCTTTATTCAGCTGGGAGCATCAGCAAGCTACTGCCTTAAAATCCAAGCTCCCCAAATGCACAGTTTCTGTCCCTTTTAAGTGCTCACAACACTAAAGATTTCACATGAAAGGGTCGTGATTGATTTGAGCAAGCATGCGGTACGTGATGGGGCAGCATGCACCGGTGGTCAGAGAGAAACAGAACAGGGCAGGGAGTTTCACAATGTTCTTCTATACAATGTCTGGAATCTATGAATAACATTGGTTTCTAAGTTATGAGTTGATTTTTAACTACTGGGTTTAGGCCAGGCAGGCCCAGACCTGGTTTCGGGCCTGGCGCCCAGCTGCCTGTCTTGGGTTTTACGTCCTTGGTTTTTTTTTTTTTTAAAAAAAACAGGTACTGAGTATGAAACAATATAAAACAATATGAGAGGGTCTCTCTCTTCCCTCAGTACTAGTTCCCACCAGCAGTGTAAAAGTGTTCCTGTTTACCATACCCATGCCAACATCTATATTTTTTTTTATTATGGCCATTCTTGCAGGAGTAAGGTGGTATCACATTGTGGATTTGATATGCATTTCCCTGATCATTAGTGATGTTGAACATTTTTTCATATGTTTGTTGGCCATTGTATATCTTCCTTGGAGAATTGTCTATTCATGTCTATTCATGTCTATTTTTATGGGATTGTTTGTTTTTTTCCTGATAATTTGCTTGAGTTCCTTGTAGATTCTGGATATTAGTCCTTTGCTGGATGTACAGATTGTGAAGATTTTCTCCCACTCGTTGGGTTGTCTGTTTACTCTACTGACTGTTCCTTTCACCATGCAAAAGGTCTTTAGTTTAATTAAGTCCCAAATATGTTTCCCCAACTTTTAGATTTCTCTTCTTCCTCAAGAATGCCAATTATTCTTAGGTTTGGTTGTTTAACATAATCCCGAACTTCTGCGGGGCTTTGTTCACTTTTTAAAGTTCTTTTTTCTTTGTCTTTGTTGGATTGGGTTAAATCAAAAACCTTGTCTTTGAGCTCTGAAGTTCTTTCTTCTGCTTGTTCGATTCTATTGCTGAGACTTTCCAGAACATTTTGCGTTTCTCTAAGTGTGTCCTTTATTTCCTGAAGTTGTGACTGTTTTTCATTTATGCCATCTATTTCACTGAAGATTTCTACCCTCATATCTTCTATCATTTTTTTTTATTTCCTTAAATTGTACTTCTCCTTTCTCTGGTACCTCCTTGATTAGCTTAATAATTGACTTTCTGAATTCTTTTTCAGGTTAAATCAAGGATTTCTTCTTGGTTTGGATCCATTGCTGGTGAGCTAGTGTGATTTTGATGGTGGGGGGTGCTAAAGAGCCTTGTTTTGTTATGTTACCAGAATTGTTTTTCTGGTTCCTTCTTATTGGGGTAAGCTATGTCTGAGGGGAGATCTGGGGCTCAAGCCTGCTGTTTACATTCTTTTGTTCTGCTGTTCACCATGGGGTGCTCCCTTGATGTAGTACTCTCCCCCTTTTCCTAGGATGTGACTCCCTGAGAGCTGAACTGTAGTAATTGTTATTTCTTTTCTGCATCTAGCCACCCAGCAGGGCTACCAGGCTCTGGGCTGGTACTGGGAGTTGTCTGCAGAGTCCTGTGATGTGAATCATCTTCAGGTCTCTCGGCCACGGATACCAGCAACTGTTCCAGTGGAGGTGGAAAAGGAGTGAAATGGACTCTGTGAGTGTCCTTAGTTTTGGTTGTTTAATACACTATTTTTGTGCTGGTTGGCCTCCTGCCAGGAGGTGGTACTTTCAAGAGAGTATCAGCTATGGTAGAATATGGAGAATCAGGAAGTGGGCAGCGCCCTCGAACTCCCAACAGATTATGCTCTTTGTCTTCAGCTACCAGAGTGGGTAGGGAAGAACCATCAAGTGCGGGCAGGGTTAGGCTTGTCTGAGCTCAGACTCTCCTTGGGCAACTCCTGCCCAAGGGGTGGGGCCATGGCTGCTGTGGGGAATGGGAGTGTGGTTTCCAGGTCAATGGAGTTATGTTCCCAGGAGGATTATGGCTACCTCTGCTGTGTCATGCAGGTTGTCAGGGAAGTGGGGGAAAGCCAGCAGTTACAAGCCTCACCCAGCTCCTATACATCCCAAAAGGCTGGTCTCACTCCCACTGTGCTCCCCCTGAGTTTGTTTCCAAGTAGTGGGTATGGCTGAGAACTTGCCCCAGGCTACCAGCTTTCCATCTGAGAAAGCAAGCAGGGCTTTCACGCCTCCCAGCCTGTTGAGTCTGCATTGAATTCACACCCTCCCCCGAATTCTGGCCAGGAGACTTCGCCTTTGGTTGGAATTGTTACCAAGTTTAGCTGGAGGTTTCCTTCTCCCTGTGGTCTCTTCCCAGTTACTCTGGCAGCCCTCCTCAAGGACCCCTGTGAGAGAAGTCAGAAATGGCTTCTCTGGGGACCCAGAGAGACCACAGGGCTTTTCCCGCCGCTTCTTACACCCCTGTAGTTCTCTCAGCTCTCTAAACTGACTCAGATCCAGGTAAGGTCAAATCCATTTTCCATGATCTATACCTCCAGGTTCCCCAGTGAGGGTGTGTTTGGGGGCAGACAATCCTCTTTTCCCACTGTCACAGTTTGGGCACTCACAGTATTTGGGCTGTTTCTTGGGTCCTGCAGAAGCAATCCACTTCCTTCAGAGGGTCTGTGGATTCTCTCAGCTTTCCTAGTATATTCCTGCAGCAGTTCTGTAGCAAAAGTTCACAATATGAGTGTTTACGTGTCTGTCCGAGCTGGAGCTGCAAGCTGGTCCTGCCTCCTATCCACCATCTTGCTAAGATCCCTGATTCTTAAAAGCAGTTTTAAAGTTCTTCATTGTTCATTCTTCTTTGGGCCCATTTATCTTAGTTATTGAAGTCACTAGTAGCACAGGATCATGCAGAAAAAGTGCCTGCTGCTATGGTTGTATCCACATAAACAAACCAGTTAAGTATCTGTTGAATTGCTGGATACATCAGGCCAAAATTCCAAACTAGTTCCAGCTTTAAATTATTTTACTTAATTGCTGTGGTGACTGATCGATCTCTCAAACTTGTTTATCTGTGTAGACATGACCTATATTATGGCTGAGGTAAAAAAACCAGTAACTGAGAAGTTGACAGCAGCATAATTGAATTCATCAACATAAGAGGGGCATAAACTCTACCATCTCTCAATCTAAGAACCAATTCTCACAGCTCTATCAACTGGTAGGCTGGACAAAATGAAGAATTTCTAACAATATTTCATTATTCTGACAAAAAAATTAGATATGTAACAGCCCAAGAAGTCCTCAAAAAAGCATATTTAAATTTATATATTTATTTATATATATATAAATTTATATATTTACATCCCCAGTGGGGATGTTACCGGAGGGTCCTTGCTCCCAGAGCTCCCCAGACGGTGGTGGGCTGCTTCCAAGATGGTGGTGGGCTGCTTCCAAGATGGCAGCGGGCTGCTTCCAAAATGGTGGCAAGCCTTGTGTTCTCTGACCTGGGATTCTTGGCCGCAGGGATTCAAAGGAATGGAATCTTGGGCCATGCAGTGAGTGTTATAGCTCTATTAGAAGCCGTGGGTCACGGAAGAGAACCGTGGAACCTAGTGACGAGTGTTCAGCTCAATTAGGATGAACCCGGGCACTTAGCCATGCAGGAACAATGGCAAGCCTCTAGCCCGATCGGGAGCAGCAATGGGCGCCTTGCTGGATCAGAAGCACAGCGGACACCCTGCCGGATCTGGAGGGATGGAAGTCGGTGGCGGGTCTGTGAGGGTGGCAAACAGCAGTGGCAGATGGCGAGCGAAAGCTCAGCTCCAGCCGTGACAAACACAGACCAGAAGAGCGTGCAGTTGCAAGATTTAGTAGAGTGAAAACAGAGCTCCCATACAAACGGAGGCGACCAAAAGAGTGTACCCGATGCCGGCTCGATTGCCTGGGTTTATATCCCGATCATTGTCCCTCCAGCTAAACTGTTAGTCAATAGATGACTGGCTATTTCTTTACTTCCTGTTTTTGCCTAATCAGCTTTTTAGTGAGCTCTCTTTACCACCTGATTGGTCGGGTGTGAGCTAAGTTGCAAGCCCCATGTTTAAAGGTGGATGTGGTCACCTTCCCAGCTAGGCTTAGGGATTCTTAGTCAGCCTAGAAAATCCAGCTAGTCCTGTCTCTCAGGCGCAGGCAATACAAAGTCCCTGAAGGGTGAATGAGTATGCTTGGTGTGCGAAGAATAGCAAGGAGGCCAGTGTGACAGTGAAGTGGAGTGGAGTAAAGTGGAGTGGATATGGGAGAGAGTAAAAGATAAAGGCAGAGAGGTAATGAGAGCGGAAGAGGAAATCCCCCTCTTTTTCTTGTTCCTTTCTTTGATTTTATTCTGGTTCCCTAGCACTACCACTCTTAGGGTGGTTATACTACCCCCTTAATTCCACAAACAAATTTACTTTACACAGCCACCGTTTATATCATTGTGCCATTTATGCATAGAAGTTGTTTGGTGTGTTGGATTACTCTGTCTGATAACTGACTTGTCCTGCCAGGTTGGTAGCCCTAAGCTAGTGGATTTTCTTCCAAGAATATGAAAGCAAAATATGCTTCGGTATAATATTGTGTAAAAAATTAATTGTATTTTCTAATATATCAGAGAGACACCAGCTGCTATTAAATAAAACTTCCTGAATTATCACTGTGCTGGCATTTTTTTGTCTGTTTTTTAGAAAAAAGTCTACTTTTTTAAGATTTTTACAAGTCTGCTTTCTACAATGTCTTTTAAATTAAACATACTGTTACATCTTATGATCATTTAAATTCATAATTTTGCTCATCAATCCTAGATATATTGAATTCAGGTTGATAATTTAAGAAATAGTGAACATATTAAAGATCCCCTTTTATTCTGTAACTTTGCTCCTTAAATATTTGGCACAGTGGTACTTTACTTTGGTTTTGCTATTCAGAGGACAGTCTTGATATATGAACATGAAATTTTAGGAAATGTCATGAATAAATGTAATCTAATTCCATTCAAACCACATTTATTGAGTACCTACTATCTTCCATGATTGGTTCTAATATTTCTCAATACAGCAAAGACCAAAACTGCAAATGGTGCTGTCATGATGAAGCTTTTCATTCTATTACGGTTGTCACAATAAAATGAGGAAATGGACATCAAGTAATAATAAATATTTTGAAGGAAAAAGAATAGAGTAAGGGGAATTCATGAGGTTGAATAAAATACTCTTTATATATGGAGGGAAGAAAATTCCTCTTTATTAGAAAGATATTTAAGCTGAGATATAAAAGAAGGAAGAAAGCAAATCAAGCAGTATGAGGGGTAGTGAGGAAGTTCTAGACAGTGGGGACAGGCAACACAAAGGCCCTGAGGGTGAATGAGTATGCTTAGTGTGCAAAGAATAGCAAGAAGGCCAGTTTGAGAGTGAAGTGGAGTGGAGTGAAGCGGAGTGCATATGGGAGAGAGTAAGAGATAAGGGCAGAGAGATAATGAGAGTGGAAGAGGAATGGGGAATAGATCATGTTAGGCATCACAGGACAAAATAACAGTTGTAGATATATGAAGCCATCAGAAGATTTTGAAAAAGAAAACTGTCATCTGCCTCCCATTTTAAAATGCTATATGGAAAATTAGTTTTAAAGACCGAGTTAGAGAAAAGAGATACATTAAGATACTGTTGCACTTCTAGGCAAAAGATGAGGATACCTTGGACCAGCATAGTAGTGGTAGAAGTAGTGAAAAATAATTTGACTTGAGAGAGACTTTGCAGGGAGAATTCTTTAAAACATTGTAGATGGATTATTGCATGTGAAGAATGAGAGAAAAAGAGGTGCAAGGATGACTCCAAAACTTTTGCCTGATCAACTGGAAAAAAATGGAATTTCAGGTACTAAGAAAGAAAATAGAGAAACAAGTATAGAGAAATAATTAAGAATTTGGCTTTGAATAAAATTTGGGATTCCCAGTAGTCATTCACAAGGGGATAGATGTTGAATAGGAAGTTGGCTGTGCAAGTCCAGCACTTGGTATGGGATTTGGACTAAAAATTAGCAATATCAGTATATAGATAATATTTGGTTTGGTTGGAGGAAACAACTCCAGCAGTGACAATTATGAAGAAGAGAGAGGACTAAGGACTGCAGGACTGCATTGAAAACCCTTATTTTTCCATACTCAGAAAGCTGGCAAAAGGTGAGAAGGAAACCCCCAATTTTTATATAATTCAGTATACTTCTTAACGTTAGAGAGCTCTTTTATAGCTATATACAATTGGTAGTTATAATAAGTCCTCTCACTTTCAGAAGAACCAGTACTAATAGAGCTGACACCTAATTTATTTGCTTGCTAAGCATCAGCTGCTAATCCCAGCTGATCTGAATCTGAATGAAATTAGTTTGAGGCAGAGTTGGACTTCACTAAAGGACATTGTGCCTTTGAATGATGTTTTTTAAGATAGACCAAAGGCTCCGCCCAGACACCTGGTGTTTCAGAAATTGATAGGGCTGCTCTACAGAGTAGTTTGATTCCAATGTAAGTTCCTCAAGAAAGCCACAAGCCTGGGATTTCATTATTTAGCCTACCAAGCATCCACTTTTGAAATCAGGACAAATCATTTATTCATTAGTATCCCATTGTAGCAGCCAAGACAGTCCCAATGATCCTAAACTCTTGGCATTAAGACTTTCGTAGTCCCCTCTCACATTGAATAGGGCTGACCGATATAACAAATAAGATATTGTGGAAATATTGGCATATAACTTAAGAGGCTACATCATGAAAGACATCAGAGCATCTACATTGCTCTCTTGAATTACTCAGGGGAAGCCAGCTGCCATGTTTCAAGAACCATCAAGCAGCCCTAGAGAGAGACAAAAACCACTTAGCAAGAAGCTGATGCTTCCTTCTTACAGTCAGTGAGAAACTAACTAAGATTGCCTATCAATAGCCATGTGAGTGAGCTATCTTGGAAGCAAATCCCCAGCCCCATTCAAGCCTTAAGATGACTGCAGCCTTGGCCAACACCTTATCAATACCTTGACTGTTGCTGGGCGCAGTAGTTCATGCCTGTAATCCCAGCACTTTGGGAGGCCCAGTCGGGCAGACCATGAGGATCCGTGTTAGCCAGGATCAAGACCATCCTGGCTAACACGGTGAAACCCCGTCTCTACTAAAAATACAAAAAAATTAGCTGGGCGTGGTGGTGGGCGCCTGTAGTCCCAGCTACTCGGGAGGCTGAGGCAGGAGAATGGCGTGAACCTGGGAGGCAGAGCTTGCAGTGAGCTGAGATCGCGCCACTGCACTCCAGCCTGGGCGACAGAGGGAGACTCCGTCCCATAAAAAAAAGAAAAAAAAAATACCTTGACTGTAACCGCAAGAAACACCCTTAGCCATAACCACCCACTAAGAACACCTGCTAAGCTTCTCCCAGATTTCTGATCCATGGAATCATAAAGGCCTGTTGTTGTTCTAAGTTTACTTGGGAAGCTTTGAAAATATTCATGCTTGGTTTCTATCCCCAGAGATTCTGACTTAATTGGCCTGGGATACGGGCTGGACAACAGGATTGAGTCTATCATCAAAGTTATGGTGTTCAAATAATATGTCACTCAATTTCAGATGAGATATGGAGCCAACCTGACCTACTAGACATTTACTTCTTTCCAAAAGTGAGAGGCAGGGCAAGTATTATATGGGTCATGGTGTTCTAGATGTGGACTCTGCAAAAAGGGTCAACAATGGTGGTACATTTCCCATCATTTGCTGCTAATTCTATTAAAGCACTTTAAAATGGAGACCAAGCCTAAAGAATCCCTGAACAGACAAAGCCAGTTAGGCCCTCATAAGGAACCTTAACCTTGCTTGCTTTGCAAACGTAAGTGAAACTTAACTTGAACTATTTCTTGTAAATGCCTAAGTTAAAGAAAAACAGAATTTAAGCTCGACAAGTCAGAAGCAACCAACAAACATATACTTATGTAACTAGGCATTTTCCAATGGGATACACCAAATAAGGCAACTGTATGACTGCAACCAATCAAATATTTTCTTTGTATTACTTTTGAGTTTGTCCTATAAATGCCTCCCACTTGTATTCTCTCTGTGGATCTCCTGAACCACTTCTGGTTTGAAACTGCTACTCTTGATTCATGAATCACTGTTTGCTCAAATAAACTCTTTAAAATTTTACTGTGCCTCCCTTTACTTTTTAACAATCCATGCAGGGCAAATAAACGTATGGCAGGAGGTACAGAGGAAAATCCAGGTAGATGTGGGCTGTTTTCCACCTGTTCTCAGCTTACATACCACCTAACGTATGCTGCCATATCCCTTCCATTTCATGAGGGATGACCTTAACTATTTCCTTCCTTTCACTCTGACTTCTACTGTATTTAATCCTCCTTGCATTCCCACATGCATACACACTACACACTTACCTGTCAGGATACTTTCAGCAGCAAGTAAAGAAAACCCAACTCAAGCAGCTTAAAAATAAAGAAAGTGTATTCTCTCATATAACACAAAGCTTAGAGGTAATTGAGTGGTTTATTGGCATAATGCACTCAGGATCATTCCATCTCTGCTATACTCAGGTGTTGTCTAAAGCTTCAGACTAATTTATTGAATGGACATGGACAACTGCCTCAGCTTCAGACATGAAGACTGAAAGAACAGAACAGAGAAATTCTCTTCCAATGTATCCCCTCTTATCAGGAAAGGAAAAAAAAGTTTTACACATGCACACACGCACACACACACACAGAAAGCCTCGCCACACATCTCATTGGTGGAAAAAACTAAGTTACATGCTCATTCCAACCATCAACAGGAAAAAGAATAGGAAAACATAATTGCTAAAGCTATGCAGCACTTAGTCCCAGTGAGCTAAAGATAGGATCACACACACACTTCATATTATCAACGTCTGCTGAAATACTTTAAATTGCGTATAACAGATACATATCAGTTAGCTGTTCCCACAGTAATGCTGCAAAACATAGACATGAAATCTCAGTAGCATAAAACAAAGTCATGTATGTCTCAGGAATCTACAGGTTAGCATGAGAGGTTTGGTTCTGCTAAACTCAACTGAACTCACACATCATTGATTCTTTTGACAGCCAACTAGTCTAGACTGGGCTTGGCAAATGGTGCTGATTCAAGTTGTGGTTCCAGCTGGACTTTGATACTCACTGATGTTTGAGCAATTCAATAGGTATTCATTCTAGGGTGCAGGATAAAGGAACAGAAGGTATCAAGGAGGTAACAGCAAAAGCATGAGAAGGCAGGCAGAAATGCAATGCCTTCTAAGGTCTAAACTAAAAACTGACACACTCCCACTTCCACTCACATTCCATTAGACAAAGCAAGTTATGGCTAAGCCCAAAGTCAAGGTACGAGGAAGAACACATTGCAACTGTGGGAAGGACTGCAAAGCCACAAGGCAAAAGGTTTGGATGTAAGGGGAGGTTAAGAATAGAGGCCAGTATTCCTATTTACCACTGATACTAAATCTAGCTCTGTCAACCAAAAATAAAATTATTGGAAAAATATTGAGGACTCTCAGCATTGATGAAAACTTAAGGATCAGGCTTAGAAAATATATATCTGAAAAACCAAGAAGCCAGAAGCACACAAACATTTTTAGCAGTATTAACCTGCCAGGATATTTCCACCACAGGATTTTCAACATCACTGCCACTTCTGTGAAGGAAACGCTATCATCCTTTCTTTTGTTTACTCATTCAAGATTTAAAATCCTCGGCAGGAGCATCCAATCAACTCAGGCTGGGTTATGTCTAGGCAGTATTATCAGGATCAGAGAAAAAGAGGACCTAGCCCTTTGCATTTTCATATTGAGAAGTGGACACTGACCCCATCAAGATAACATCTAATTAGGGATTCTCCTAAGATATAAGTGGTCTTAGATGCCAGAGAGACAAAGACACAATGTTCAATGGCTACACGGAACTGGAATGAAATAGGAATTCGGTGAATGAAGGAAGGACTTTCAACTATAACACGAAAACATCCCTCATTAAGGGAAGTATTTCCTGTTCACCAACAGGAGGGGGAATCTTTTTTTTTTTTTTGAGACGGAGTCTTGCTCTGTTTCCCAGGCTGGAGTGCCGGGGCGCGATCTCAGCTCACTGCAAGCTCCGCCTCCCGGGTTCACGGCATTCTCCTGCCTCGGCCTCCCGAGTACCTGGGACTACAGGCGCCCGCCATCACGCCCGCCTAATTTTTTATATTTTTAGTAGAGACGGGGTTTCACCGTGTTAGCCAGGATGGTCTCGATCTCCTGACCTCGTGATCCACCCGCCTCGGCCTCCCAAAGTGCTGGGATTACAGGCGTGAGCCACTGCGCCCGGCCAGGAGGGGGAACCTTTAGATCATTCATTATAAATCCTCTGAGGCCTAGCCAGCACCTACTGGCAATACACATTTGAACAACAGTTTCTTTGGGATTATGGAGGAAAAAGTCTGTTAGCCTTACAAATGTTTTTATAATAGTTTTATGCTGCTGAATAGACTTAAGGAAATCAAATATGTTTCCAATTTTGCACTCAGCATTTAAATAATCCGATGTACAAGCAAGAGATATATGGTTACCTCATGTTTAAACATACTCAGGAAAAACCACTGGGCATTGAAATGTACTGCCTCAAATGAATTTTTATGCTGAGAGATCTACACTAACGTGATAGGTCTTCAATTCTACTCGTGGCTTTAGGAAATCTATAAATTCAAATCACTATTATGCTTAAATAATGCAATTGCACTCAAGGGACATAGACTGTAATATCGGATTAGGTCATGAGATTAATGGATTTGGAGGGTCTCTTTTTTTTCCTCCATAATTCATTTTTGTACTAAATATTTATAGTAAATCAAGTCTGTGTCACAAAATAGCCATTTGGGTTAGTGAACAGAAGTGGAACAGGAGCAGAAAGGAAAGTTAGAAAAGGGAAGGGAGGAGCGAGAGTTGGCAAGGGAAGGGGGTAAGAAGGAGGCAAAGGGAAGAAAAAAAACGCCTCCTGTCCATCACCTCTCACTACTCTCAGGCATGGTGATTCTCTGTGTTTTCATTCCTTACTTAGGCCAAGCATGTCTTCTTAAGCAATTTTCCACTCAACCAGTTGGGGTCACTGTTGTCAGGTAAAACAGTATGGCCCTCATTAATCACACCCACAATTGATGCCCAGATTCCTGTAATCCCAAACCTACTCTTTTTTTAATCTATTTTTTTCTTCCTCTTCTTCTTTCTCCTCCTTTTCCTCCTCCTCCTCCTTTCTTCTTCTTCTTCTTCTTCCTCTTCTTCTTCATCTTCTTCTTCTTTTCTCCTTCTTCTCCTTCTTCTTCCTTTTCTTCCTCTTTCTTCAAAGAAAGGATATCCTTTATTTTAAAAGGCATAGCAAAAATAGACTTATCAAGATGTCCACTCAGATAAACTAATAAGAGTGAAGAGAAAGAAATGCAAAGGTGGGGTACTGCCATTTAGAATATGATATTGCATCTAAACAACCCTCTGGGCAGTGGTTTGGTCCCTATTAGTGTCCTCTTATAGATGGACTGTCCCCACACCAGTTCTTTGGTCTTTAAGTTGTTCCCAACCATATTAAGCAGAGGTCACTTCATTTCTTTCCAAATTCTTCTACTAGATAAAGTGTGCTGGGATGAAAAGAGTGAACCACTATTTTCTTGACTGAAAATGATAATAGACTCAGGCATTTCAAGACACATAATGGAGATGGCCCAACAATGCCCCAAAAGGTGATATCATAGAATAAGAAGAATGAATGCAATGAACTAATTCTGTTTAGTTGTGTAATCTAATGAAGTCATGCCACAGTTTGGAGCCTTCAGCAGTAAAATAAACGGCTTTCAAATTGAGGCTATTTTTAAGTTTCTCCATTAAATATAAGTATTTTTTTGAACATATACTTTTAAATAGGCTACCTAGTTCTAACTGGATATAAAATGAAAGTAAGGAGAATAACTGAAATGTCCACCCTTTATGCTCAATAAACTACAGTAATTAAATTGGGTGAGTGGGTCCTTCTCTTAAAAAAAACTTTCTATTAAAAATGATGTGTCCTTTCCTCATCTAATGCAATCCAAAGACTCCAAATAACTAGAACATGGACATTCTTTATTTATTCTTGACAGAAACTGGGCACATAGGGTTTGAAATCATTATACTTCTGGCCTAGACAACTCACCAACAAATTATGGTTTCAATGGTTACTACCAACAATGGGTTTTAGTCCTCAATTTTGCTAGTGATAAAAAAAACCTGATGCTAAAAAAAAGGGCTTTTTCTTTTCTTTAATTCCAGAGAAGTATTGGATAGATATAAACTTCATTACTTTCTTATTGTTTTCAACAGTCATATGCCACATAATGACATTTTGGTCAATGACAAACTGCATATAAAATAGCGGTCCCATAAAATTACAATGGTGCTGAAAAACTAGTATAGCTTAGTGATGTCATAGCCATGTGGTGATGCTGGTGTAAACAAACCTGCTGAACTGCCAGTCATATAAAAATGTAGCACATACAACTATGTGTGGTACATAAAGGTTATTACAAAAGGGTCAAATAGTTTTTTAAATGTTAAGTTTATAAAGTAAAAAGTTTCCAGTAAGCTAAGGTTAATTTATCATTGAAGAAAGAAAAACACTTTTTAACGAATTTAGTCTCGCCTAAGTGTAAAGTGTTTATAAAGTCTACAGTAGTGGACAGTAATGTCCTAGGCCTTCACACTCACTCACTGACTCACCCAGAGCAACTTCCAGTCCTACAGCTTCCTCAAAACGTAACCCTATCATTAAACAATGCATGACTGTATTTAGAGCGTCCAAAAGAATCTTTGTCATCATGGTATTCCTTAATTTACTCCAATAAATGTTCCTACAAGACTCAGATGTACTCAATTATTTGCATGCTTTACCTCTACTATTTAAATTCCTGCCAAATTCCAAATTAATTTTATTCAGCATTATTTCCTATAGTCAAGCAGTAAAAGAATATTGTCTAAATGCTAATCTGCTGTTTATTCATTTTCCTTGTACAGCTTCAGTCCCCCAGAGTTTGACAGTTCAATAAATCCTTAAAAGAGATTGTAATGCTGCCTTGCTATATATTGTTTTCTCCAAGAAAATAAATTAAGAAACTTTCCCACCTGTCACCCTTTAAAAATGAGAAAGAAGTGTATCTTTCTGCCTATAGAAAACAGGCTTTGAATATGGAATTAATTACAAGAATCTGGAATAAAAAATAGTCCCTGGCTAACAGAAAATGATTTCAATAGATTCTGGCAAAAGCTTTTCTATAATTTGTTTCCTTCAGAACAATCTGATCAGCCTCATTCTCATAGGATGCTAAAGCAGAGAATCCCATATGTGCTTATGCAATATGCAAAAGGTCTTTGGATTTTTTCTGCAGCTTTAACTACAGCCCTTGGGTTTGCCTGTCATTGAAGACAATCTGTGCACAGTTGATTGAAAATGCAATTCATTATATGACTCTTCTTAATGTCACAAATTGAGAAGAGTGGTTAAACTTTGAGTCATGATTGGGGGAAAGAAGACTTAATATGCAGGAGCTAATTAATATGAAAACAGCTAATGAATTAAGAGTTATACACAGTTGACAGGCTAAAATAGAGCAGGTTATGTAGAACTCAATTCAATCCTGTTATTCTCCTCATGCCCTCATCACCAAATACCCACACTGGGCAGGTAAAGGCTGTGTGGTGCACAATTGCCTGTGCTTTAAGGTTTATTCCACTAAGTAATCTACTCCCTTCACACATACCAGGTTTACTTTACAACTGCCTGAATTCATAAAAGCCTCACCATTGCCTCAGGTTGCCAGATGTTCACAAAGCATGGTCAGTTGTTTTTGTTTTTTTGTTTTGTTTTGTTGAGACAGCGTTTCATTCTTATTGCCCAGGTTGGAGTGCAATGGCGTGATCTCGGCTCACTGCAACCTCCACCTCCTGGGTTCAAGCGATTCTGCTGCCTCAGCCTCCCGAGTAGCTGGGATTACAGGAGGCTGCCATCCCGCCTAGCTAATTTTTTTTTTATATTTTTAGTAGAGACAGGGTTTCACCATGTTGGCCAGGCTGGTCTCAAACTCCTGACCTCAGGAGATCCACCAGTCTCGACCTCCCAAAGTGCTGGGATTACAGGCGTGAGCCACCACACCCGGCCGGTCAACCTTATCAAGAGAATTAACCCCTACAGCCAAGTCATTTCTACAGTTTGGCACTGTTCCACACATGTGGTAAACCCAGCATTTTAACGTGTACATTTAATATGTAAATGTTACATTAAAAACATAGAAACAAATTTAAAATAAAAAAGAAAGAAAGAAGATTTGCAGAAAAAGAGATTTCCTCCCATAGGACAGCTATTGATTGGCTCAGGGAACAAATATTTCACTACAATCAAATCATACATGCCGAACCAGTGTGGACCATCCTTTATATGTCAGCCAGTTCAGGGATTCAAACTCCAGAAAAATGTACAGAGTGGAACTCACTTCCCATCTCCAGCTTCAGCCCCACACGTGGAGTGCCTACTGGCTTGGCTGAATCCTTTGCTATCACTTCCAGTTCAATTTGTGTCAGGCCATAACCTAGGGGCATTAGGTGAGGAAGTCAGGAGATGGCAGAAACCACAAGTCTAGTTAGAAAAGAGAGTTGCACATGAAGATTTATAGCCATATGTCAATTTGGACAGGAACGAGAGTGCAAGGACTGACCATAGGCTAGGGAAGACAGAGAATGTATAATATCACCTGAGAGGTTTTCTAATAAATAGGACAGGGATGGCGGGATGTTCTACCAATACTTCATGGCCCCACCTAACTGTGAGGGTGGCTGAGATATATAGTCTAGCTGTGTGCCAAGGATAAGAAATAAGTGGATTAGGAAATTAGATTTCATGAGTACATGGCAGTCTTTGGATCATCAGTCTAAAAATTAAATAATTTTAAGTCTATCCATCAAGGCTTCACTAAATCTAATCCTATTATGAAAGTTTTCTATTCTACTCATTCAGAGGAAGATCTGCCCAGCTTCGGAGCACAAACACTTACGTCTTGTTTGGCAAATAACTCAACCTTATAACAGCGCTTTATTTTTATCCCATTGCTATCTAATTATCATGTCGCTTTTAACATTCTAAGAATAGAAGTTCTCACTCCCCACGTTGATAATGAGCTACTTATAGGTGAGCAGTAAGTATCTTGTATTTCTAGATCAGGTACATGCATGCACACAAACACACACACACACACACACACACACACCCTGACTCTGTCTCTTACTCAGATTAGGTATTTGAAAAGAATATAGTAAGTGAAAGCATAAGGTTCTGGATTTGTAAAATGAAATCTATCATCTACCAAGATAAGTACCTCCACAAAAAATAAACAAACAGAATAAATATATATCATCGATAAACACTGTTGGGTTTACAATGCAAAGTTCAGTGTTAGGAAAACTAAAGATGCAATAGATGTCAGCCATGGTCTATATCCTTAATGAAATTTGTAAAGAATGAATAGATGCATAAAGTAATTTTATTTTTAGTTGAGAATTAGAAGTTCCACTTGAAATGGTTTGACTACATACATTTATTTCCTGAAATACCTTTAGCATAACATAAAGGAATAAAAAACATTATAAACCTTAAAGGACAATGAAAACAGGAAAGGAGACAATAGCAAGCAAGATATTTCCATAAAACGTTAGAAGATGGGAATGAATTGAGAAGTGGTAAATGACTCAATGCATTAAAAAAAGCTGAAACCTAGACAGAAGGATATTGATTGGAGTCAGAACGAGAAAATCTTTAGAACCCTGGAAAGTGCTCAGGAATTGGAAGCATGGGCATTTTGGGAGGCAGAGGATGGGACTGTATAAGGATTTATTAGATACTAGATACCTCTTCTACCTTGTGCCAGGTGAGTTCTCCCTCCCCTTACCCATCACTTCAAGAGAAGAGAAAATTTAATCTCTAGAGAAATTGAGTCCAGAAAGACTTGGGACTCAAGGATACTAAGCTCAGCAGAGTGAGACAAAGGTGCTGTGTTGAAGACAGGGGATTAAGAGAATGTCCGTGAATGGTGAGGGAGGGAGGCGACAGAGCATAAGTCAAGGGTGAGATGTAAGAATGACACTGTATTTCTCAGCAGCATGACTAAAAGCTGGAAGATAATGGAGTAATGTCTCCAAAATTATGAAAGAAAAGTATTTTCAAACTAGAATTCTATATTGAGCTAACTTAAAGTGTGAGGGTAGGCTCTAAACATTTTTAGATTCTTCCCAAAAAATTAATTCCCACATACTTTTTTTTTAGGAACATATACAGGATGTGCTCCAAGTAAAGCTGTAAGCCCAGAAAAAGACACCATGAGATCCTGTTGCCTCCAGACAATTATTTAACCTTCCACAGTTTTAAAGAAATTAAACTACAGTATAGACAATTATTTTGCAAAGGATCTTGGAATAAGAATTACAAACAAAAGAAGTGGGGATCTCTAAAACGGTAAGAAATAATGTTTCCCTCATGTTGAATTGAGAAAAAAAAAAAAGCATTACATTTTATTAAACTTGTTTTGCACCAGCATTCAATATAATTGTTTACTTGTGTGAGCTTTTCAGTTTCTGAGTCATGGTAACCTGATGAGCAATTTTTCTTTTATATTTTCATAGAAATACTACATTGTCTTAAAGAGGACATAGAATAGGAGCCACCTTTAATTCAATCAACATATTAGTTAAATACCTTTTGTTGTATAATATATGTACCTTATTCATGCTATTTTGGCAAATAAAGGATGTATTGATCACAGAAATTAAAAATTCACATAAATGAATATATATATGAGAATATATATTTATTTATACGAATTTTAAAACCATATATATATAGATGGTTTGAGCCCAGGGTTTAAACTATATCAGCAAAACCAGGCTCTTTCTTTCTCTCTGCCTTGTTCTCTGATATAATGGCTTATTCTCAGGCTCTATGAAGAGGTAAGATAGTCAGTCCATGCCTTCCATGTTCAAGTCCAGCAGAAAATAAAGAGCATCGCTTGTAGAAAGCATCCTTAAGACTCAAATAATTGACTTTGATTGGCCCACTTCAGTCAGATCCCTTTTCCTGAAACAAATATGATATCCTTGGGAATCACTGTCACATTCTTCATGCTATAGAGCCCCATCTGGACACTTGGCCAGAGACCATGGAATTTGTTACCCCAAAGGAAAACTCATGTACTTTTTCTCATCAAGTGAGGATAAATGCTCAGCAAGCAAAAATAGCATATATCCATTGCAACCTTTTAATACATTCACAAATCCATTGTTCCACTGTCTCCAATGAGCAGAATTCCTATAGAAAGAAGGCTTGTTCTAAAACCAACTTCTTAACATTTCTCTTGGTTAAAACAAAAAAAAAAAGCCAAGTATTGGCTGGGCACGGTGGCACACCTGTAATCCCAGCATTTTGGAAGGCCAAGGCGGGTGATCACCTAAGATCAGGAGTTCGAGACCAGCCTGGGTAATATGGCAAAACCCTGTCTCTACTAAAAATACAAAAATTAGCTGGGCATGGTGGTGCATGCCTGTAATCCCAGCTACTCAGGAGGCTGAGGCACAAGAATCGCTTGAACCCAGGAGGCAGAGGTTGCAGTGAGCCAAGATCACATGACTGCACTCCGGCCTAGGCAACAGAGTGAGACTCTGTCTCAAAAAACAAAAAAAAAGCATTAATGCATCATTTCCTTTTTAATTTATGATCAAATCACATGCAAGTGTACATTTTCAAGTTCCATATGATCATTTGGGGTCTTTATAGAGTCCTTGCTCAATAGCACAAGTTTGTAGTAGCTTGTAGTGATGACAGAAACTACCTTTAATTGTGCAGAGGATAATTGTAATTTTCTTTTTCTAGAGGACACGCATTTTCACCTGAAGCTTTCCCTTGAATATCATCACATTCCAACTTCAGCTTTGCAGATTAAATATAAGGGATTTCCTCTACATCAATGCCTCCTGGACTATTGACTATAATCTGCCTTAGCAGGAAGCCAAGTATTTTAGAGAGCTATATTGTGTATCTCTGAGACCAAAAAAGAAGAGCAGCTTCACCTAGGCCTCCTGCAAGTTCCACGAAATGGCTAAACTGATGTGGTTCTGTCTTTCCAAATAAAGGAATTAATTTTCAAAAACTGACAAGAATCTCTGGTATTCCTGCATTTGTCTGAGAAAAAGCTCTCCTGTCATGTGCAGCTACACACCTGCCTCCGGAACCTGGGAGAAGTTATACCTGTCATTGCCAACCATGAAGGCTTGATGAGGGCTTAGGAGCTTTATTTCTACAGAAATAATCCATTCTCTGCCATCTCATCTGAAGTTCGGAGAAACAAGAATTGCTTCTCTATTTTCAAACCTTATGTTTTCTTTTACAAATAAAAATACATCAAATTTATTTATTGAGTACCTACTAAAATTACGGGATCTATGTCCTTAAGGAAATCATGCTGCTGTAGAAATTCTGATGTGTTATACAATGATTTAGAAATGTACTGTGGAATCTTATAAACTGCATTTGATATGTGTGGCTAACCTCCTAAGATAAAACTTTGTCTTTCATAATAAATAACTATTAAAAAAAATCATTGCCTTATGTAGTCATGGCAATACTGTGGAAATGGGTTCCAAGGGATATATATATATATATATATATATATATATATATATATATATATATATATATATATATATCTCTCTCCTTACTTGAAACTGGTTTTTGGTTCCTGTTGAACAAACCCCTGATCTTTACTCTCATCAAATCATAATTATAATTTATAAATTTTAAAAATAAAATTCATTTTAAACTCTTTTTGGGTATAAACTCTCTTTGGGTATAAACAGTTTGATAACTGTACATCTTTTGATGCTATTATCAAGTACTCATAATTTTTTTCCTGATAAAAGAGATCATACCCCACCAGGAAAAAAATGATGCTCTGCAGGGTTCAACTGCATCCAGGGTTGAGTGGGAGAAACAATCAGTTTCTTCCATCTATTTTCATTTAAGAAAGAAAATAAGTGCACTGTGAGGGTGCAAATTATCTGTGTATACATACAACATGGAGAAGTAGCCCTACAGTATCTCAGAGCTGCAAAGAACCTTAAAAGCCACCTAGCCATCTAATTTTACCCACATTCAACCAATGCCCAACTCACATTTACAACCCTCACGTGCCCATTCAGTCTACTCGAAGCACGAAGCACGTCTAGAGAATTGTTTACCTCCTGAGGCAGCCCATTTTATCTTGTCATCCATAATAATAGGCTCTTAATTTGTGGCCCCAAATAGTTGTAGTGCTCTCCAGGTTCTAGTTTCCCTGAGTTGTATTTGATGCTCTTGCTTAAATGGGTCCAAATAGGTGCCTGTAAGATTGAGGACAGAAAGATAGTTTGGTTTATAGCTCCAACTTATTACAATACCCCGAGGTCATGGGTCTTAATTCTAGACAGCTTAGCTAAATAAACTGGGGAAAGACTACAAAGTGTGTTGTTTCCCAGCTCAGCTATTTGCCACTGTGCAATTTTCCCAACTCAGTCACATTCAGTCCTCTTCCCTTCTCCAATGCCAGAATGGGAATTGGGAATAATGGCATTTCTGGGTCACTTAATTAGGAAAGAGCATTCAATGACTTACTCTTCTACTCTAGACTCCCTTCTCTTCCTAAGTATGACAAACTTCACAGATCAGGACTTATTATGTTCCTTCCTCTGTTAAGTTCACAGTTAAAAAATTATCTATTTTTCAGGTGAACACCACCAACATGTATGTGCTCTTAGAGAATAAACAAATGCAAAGGGAATAGGCAGTTTGTGTCCAGACTTTAAGAAACCTGTCAGAGAAACTATGTGAGTCTTTGAGGATCTACTCTCAAGATAGAATTTGAAACTTTCACTGGATCCTGAAAGGCTGAGAAAGCCCCGGGCAATGAAATGCTGATGGATGAGGAAGTAGAAATATGCAAGAAAATGCTATCAGCCATATTGGGGGTCTGTGTGACAAAATGAAAAAAAAGTGTCATCAAGCCTAAGACAAGCTTAAAAAGCCTAAAAGAAGCCAGGTCCAAAAATGAGACTTAATATTTGGCTTCAAGGGAACTCACTTAATTTATTCCCCCAGCTCTGTCCACTGAAAGGGCTGAGAAGTCCAGAAGCAATTACACCCCAGAAGCAATGAATATACCTCATACTTAGATCCTTAAATGAATGTCATTCTCTATTAAAAGGACTCACAGGTGAAATGGCAGATTCCAAGACTGGAGCAGAAAATGCACACAAGATGAACCTGAAGCATTTTCTGCCAGAAAGCAAGGAGCTGCTAAAAATAAAACAAAATAATAATAATAATTTTAAAAATAATAATAATAATAATGAAGACATGGCAAAAGGATACATGAAGCACCATGAAGTGGTTCCCTCTGGCCAAGCCAGAGACAATTTGAGCAACCAAAATCAATAACAACTATAACACATTATAACCCACTGAATAAAATAAGAATACATGAGTCCATACTGATAATAAATAGGATTCTCCAGAGAGACAGAACTAATAGGACGTAGACAGATAGATAAGTAAGAGAGGCTTTTCCAGGGAATTGGTTCACGTGATTACAGAGGCTGAGAAGTACCACAATAGGTCACCTGCAAGCTGAAGAAACAGGGAGGTTGGTAGCATGGTTCAGTCTAAGCACAAAGGCCTGAGAATCAAGGAAACTAATGATGTAACTCTCAGTCTGAAGCCAAAGGATTAAGAGCTCCAGGAGTCCCAAAGTCCAAAGACTGAATAACCTGGAGTTCTGATGTCTAAGGGCAGGAGAAGAAAAGTGTCCTGCTCCAGAAGAAAGAGAGAATTCACCCTTCTTCTGCATTTTTTTCCATCCTAGTCCCCAGCTGATTGGATGGTGCCCATCCACATCGAGGGTGGATCTTCCCCACTCAGTCCACCAATTCACAGGCCAATCTCCAAAAACACCTTCACAGCACACCAAGAAATGGTGTTTTACCAGTTCTCTAGGTATTCTTTAATCTAGTCAAGTTGACAGCTAAAATTAACCATCACAGATAGATAGATCTTTCTACCTGTAGAATGCTGGCTAATAAATCTAGAAAGTACAATTAGAAAATCAGCATGAAATCACATGCAACTATTATGATAAAAATTGACTTAGGCAAAACTATTCAATGGATACTAAATCTGGTGCAATAGAGATAAAGGAAGAATCTGGTGAACTGTAAAGCAAAAAACTATACAGTGGAGAAAACAGCACCTTATCCAAATGATCAAAATTAATGTTATTGATAAGGTACAATTGGACATGGTGTCCTTTCAGATGTGTTACTCTGAGAAAGACATAAGATCACTTATGTAGTATTTGAGTCAAAAATGTGTAGCTTCAATTTGATCTTGAAGAAACATCAGACATATCCAATATAATCAATGTTGTATAAAATAAGTGGCCTGTACTCAAGAATATTAAGGTTATGAATGGCAAGGAAAGACAGAAGAAATAGTTCAGATTGACAGAAACTAAAGAGACACAGTAATTGCATACAATACATCTTCTGAACTGAATCCTGTATGGTAGGAGTGGAAGATGTCATAAGGGATATTATTGTGACAGTTGGCATAGATTAAAGGATTGTGTTAGTGTTTAATTTCCTGGATTTGATGGTATTCTGTGGTTATATAAGGAAATATCCTTATTCTTAGGAAACATGCACCAAAATATCAAGGGGTAAAAGTACACGCTGAACGTAACCAACTCTCAAATCGTTCAGAAACGAGTATTATATATGTATTTAAAGTGAAAGAAAGCTAAAACAAGTGTGGCAAAATAGTAAAAATTTGTGTATCTTGGTAAAGAAAATATGAGAGTTCTTGGTATATCCTTGCAACTCTCTGTAGTTTGAAATTATTCAAAACAAAAAGTTAAAAACAAAAAGTTTCAGGTCCACCATAAGTATCCTGCTTACCCTTGCACACCTAGAAAGACTCACCCAGTCTACCTTAGAGATAAGTGTGTTACTCAAGAGATAGTGTGTGTGGAAACAACCCTAAACTAGGAGCCAAAAGAGCAAATATTGCTATTAATCGGCTAGGAGATGGTGAACAAGCTAAGTCATCTTTCTGTACCTCTGTTCCCAAATCTGTAAGTGAGGAGGCATGGTTTGGTTCAGTTTAAAAAAGACCTTCACAACAGTTAGTGCCTTGTTTCTGTCTGATGGTCTCCACAAGTGCAAGTCTTTAAGGACAGGCTTTGCAATCATTTCTTGGGGGTGCCATTTGTAGGGAAGAAGGTGCCAGGCTTCAAAGTGGAACTTGAGAATAATCTACGACACCTCTTCCAACCCTGAGATTATATGAGTTTAAAAGTAAGTGCCCTAAAAGAATTGCTCTGTGGGTCCAAGAAGACTCCGCAGAATATTAAATAAATAAAACTATTAGTAAATAGCTTTAACAATAATAAATAAATAAAGCTAATAATGTTTTTCACTTCAGCTCCTTTGGGTTATTTATTCATAGAACAAATTGACAACTCATGCCCTTATTTTATGGCTTTTAGCACACATGTATAGACTCACCAGTAGCATTTTAAGATACAAATGAAAATAGATACACTAGATTTTTTTAATTCAGAAAAGGTAAAGGATTTACTGAACTCCAAGGCCTAAATTTGATTTCTTGTCTATAGCAGACTTAATCTAGGCTTTTTCTATCATGTTCCTCAAAATTTTCAGCCTTCACCAACTACATGATCATAAAGCCACTTCCACATTTTTAAGTATTTGTTACAACAGCATCCCACTTCTAGGTACCAAATTTTGTAACAATTAGGGTTCAACTACAGAAGCGTAACTAGTAGGAGAAGAGGATGATGATAGATAGATAGACGATAGATGGATAGATAGATGATAGATAGATAGACAGACAGACAGACAGACAGACAGACAGATAGATAGATATTACAAGAAATTGAATTACACAATTGTGGAGGCTGGCTAAACAAATCTGAAATCTGTAGGGCAGGATGTCACGAAGGGAAGATCACAGGCAGGCTGGAAACCACAGGCAGGGGCTGAAGCTGCTGTCCACAGCAGAATCTCTCTCTCTCTCTCTCTCTCTCTCTCTGTGTGTGTGTGTGTGTGTGTGTGTGTGTGTGTGTGTGTGTGTGTGTCTCACCCCTCCAGCCCTGCTCTCACGGCTGTTCAACTGATTTAATCAGGCCCTAGATTATCCAGGATAGTCTCCCATCTCCCATATTTAAAGTCAACTGATTGAGGATTTCAGTTTCATCTGAAAATTCCTTTTACAGCAACACCTAGAATAGTGTTTTACTGAATAACTGGGAACGTAGCTTAGTAAAGCTGGCACATCAAAAAGAAAAAAAAAATCATCACACTATGAAAACCCATACATGAGAAAAAGCAGGTTAATAAATTATTTAAATTTATAAATTACAACCTTTCATTCAACATCCCTGCCATTGTGGCAAAACTTTAGTGATAAAAAGTCAAACCTCAGATTTTCTCTTGTAAAAGAATAAAGATGTTTCAGTAAGAACAAATTATAATCAATATCATTTTTTCTTGAAACAAAAGCAAGAAATTATTTTAAAAAACAGTCAAACTCCTAGCCATTTGCAATTTATTGTTTCTGCTTTCAGAAGGAAAGCATTAGCTTCAATATGGCTTCTGTGTCAGGTTCATTGTGATAAAGGACCAGAAATTGGAAAATATGAGACATCATAAATGACACAGCGGTTGAGAAACTAGAAGTTGTCATATTTTATCATGATTCAAAACAAAAAAATTCTCAGTCCTACATCTTGAAGGGGACAGAGGTTAGAAAAAAAATTAGCAGTTGTTTTATGACCATTTTGGAAAAGAAGTCCCTCAGGACAAGCAAAGCCTCTTTTCTCCCGTGATTTGAGGACTGACAGCAACTTATCATGGTGCACGAGGCTGATCCTTGTCTTTTGATGATGCGTGATGTTGATGTTCCACTGATGGAGATAAAGACAATGCTTTATCAGTGGTATGACCCTTTTCCTCTTTTACCCTGAGCCTATAGTGGCTACATAGTCTTCACCCCAGTGACCATTCTCTACAACCCATAGTTCATCCTTTTTTCTTTTCTTTTTGTTTTTTTGGACAGTTCACATTGGGAAAGAAAGCTACATAACATTTTTGTGACTCTCTATTACCAGAACAAAAGGAGTAAGGACAAGCATCAACAGTCCTTTCATATGGATACTTTTTATAGACTAAATGTTCTCATGAGAAGATAAAAAAAAAGTCACTTAGAAATGTATTGTGCAGGGAGAAAATTCCAGATGGCTTCTACCACTGTGTTATTGTTTTCCCATTAGATTGCTAAAGTTGCCACTCCTCACATTGGTGTGGACAATGCTTAATAAAGCCCTGTGAGTGATAACACTGTGCTCTCAGATTATCATCAGGTTGATTCTGTATGCACTTCTAAGAAATACTGCCCATACTGCCTACACTGAAAGAAGCAGAGAACAAGAAAATCTTGCTGAGATGGAGAGATTTCAGAGTGGTCAACTGGTTCACTTACTAACAGGTCTACTCTTACCCACCGGCATCCCTGGTGAGTAGTCCAGATTTAGCTTCAAGGCTTGTGTGTTGAAAGGGAAGAAAGACTCTCATAGAGTTATAGGCTGAACTTCAATTTATCCAAACCAGCCTTCTGTGTGGAGAGGGTGGGTAAGCCTATAGAAATGATATTACTAATGAATTAAGACACTGCAATAGATTCTCCTACCACCACTAAAAGTAAAGAGCAGGACGCAGTGGTGAAAACTTATTTCTTATTCTCCAGATAAAGGAATGAGCATGTAAGATTCATTCATAGGAAAGATGGCAAAGAGCTTGTAGTGCAGGTGTAGAAAGAAGAGTCCACAAGGAGCCTGAGAGGTCAAGAGTGAGTCAATGTCAGTGAAGTGATAGAGCAGAGTGCTGGTGACACAGAAGACACTGCAGGTGACAATAATAGGACATATTTTAATAATGTCCTGGAGAGATGACAGAAGCAGAGGCTAGAGCAGTTAGAGGAAGAGGCACACGCAAGACTTCTACTTGGGGTCTCCCAGAAAGACAAACAAAAGAAGACTAAGGTCTTTACAACTGTCAGGTGGAGAACATTACTCCCCAGTCTTGAAAATAAACTGTTAATAGCATTCCAACACTTGAGATTCTTTTGGTGGTAGGCAACAAGAAACTACTTTTGGCTTAATCAAAAAGGGATGCTGACACTTACAACTGTAGGTCCAGGAGCAAGGTCCTGACTTCAAAGTCAGGTGTCACTGGATTCAGGACTCAAACAATAATAACATTCAGCTCTATCTTCTCACTTTGTGTTCTACTACACGGCCTTCAACCTCAGACATCAGGGCAGAGCAGTTGGCAGCAGAAACTCTTGCACATGCATTCCTTAATTTAGAGTTCAGAGACAAAGAACAAATTTCTCCAGCAAAAGAATCATTTATCTTATTTACTTTAATTGGATCATATGCCCATCTCTGAGCCAAATACAGCTGCCAGAGCAATTCGATACTCTGATCAACTTAGAACCTATGCTCTATTTCTGAGCTTCATGAAAATTCTACAGATAAGAATGGGAGAAAAAAATCAAGGTCTGGTTATTAGAAAAAAGGTTAATGAGCTTGTTGGCAAATACATAAGATGACAAATCTATAAGATCATGCATACATATATATATATATAATTGTGTATTCAATCACTTTAAATTATATTTGTAGAACAATAAAACTTTTTAAATTTTAGAATTAAATATTTTGACAAATAATAATTGTACACATTCATGGGGTACATAGTGATGTTTCCGTACATATAATGTTCATGATCAGATCAGGGAAATTAACATATCCATCATCTCAAATATTTATCATTTCTCTGTGTTGGGAACATTAAATATCCTCCTTCTAGCTATTTGAAAGTATATGTATTAATCCATTCTCACTCTTCTATAAAGAAATACCCAAGACTGGATAATTTATAAAGAAAAGAACTTTAATTGGTTCACAATTCCACAGGCTCTACAAGAAGCAGGACAGGATCTGCTTCTGTTGGGGCCTCAGCAAACTTACAATTGTGTCAGAAGGCAAAGGGGAAGCAGGCATGCCTTACATGGCCAGAGCAGGAGGGTGGGCAGGTGCTACACATTTTTAAAACAACCAGATCTTCTGATAACTCACTCACTAACTATCAGGAGAATAGCACTGAGGAGATGGAGCTAAAACGTTCATGAGAACTTCACCCCATGATCAAATCACCTCTCACCAGGCCCACCCTGCAATACTTGGGATAACAATTTGACATGAGATTTGATGGGGACACATATCCAAACTATATCAGCATATAATATATTATTGTTGACTATAGTCATCCTAAAGTAGTATAGAACACTAGCACTTATTCTTCCTATCTAGCTGTAATTTTCTATCCTTTAACAAGTCTTGCCCTATCCCTCTGTATTAATCCGTTCTCAGACTGCTATAAAGATAATACCTGAGACTATGTAATTTATAAACAAAAGAGGGTTTAATTGACTCACAGTTATGTATGGCGGGGAGGCCTCAGGAAGCTTACAATCATGGTGAAAGGCGAAGGGGAAGCAAGGCATGTGTTACATGGTGGCAGGAGAAAGAGAGCACAGGAGAAACTGCCACTTTTAAATCATCATTTTCCTGAGAACTCCCTCACTATCATGAGAACAGAATGAGGGAAACTGCCCCAATGATCCATCACCTCCCACCAGGTCCCTCCCTCAATGCAGGGGAATTAAAATTCAATATAAGATTTGGGTGTGGACATGGAGTCAAACTATATCATTCTACCCCGACGCCTCCCAAATCTCATGTCCTTTTCACATTTCAAAACCAATCATGTCTTCCCAACAGTATCCCCAAAGTCTAAACACATTCCAGCATTAACCCAAAAGTCCAAGTCCAAAGTCTCATCTGAGACAGGCGTGACGCTTCCACCTATAAGCCTAAAAAATCAAAAGCAAGTTAGTTACTTCCAAGATACAATAAGGGCACAGGTATTGAGTATTTGTTCCCATTCCAAATAGAAGAAATTGGCCAAAACAAAGGAGCCAAAGGCCCCCTGCAAGTCCAACGTCCAGCAGGGCAGTCATTAAACCTTAAAGCCCCAAAATAATTTCCTTTGACTCCACATCTCACATCCAGAGCACACTGATGCCCTGATGGGCTCCCAAGGGCTTGAGCAGCTCCACCCCTGTGGCTCTGCAGGGTACAGCCCATGCTTTCATGGGCTGACCTTGAGTGCCTGAAGCTTTCCCAGGCACACAGTACAAGCTTTCAGTGGATCTACTATTCTGGAATCTGGAGGATGGTAGCCCTTTCTCACAGCTCCACTAGGTGATGCCCTGGGGGGGACCCTGTGTGTGGGCTCCAATCCCACATTTTCCTTTCACACTGCCCTAGCAGAAGTTCTCCATTAGGACTCTGCCCCTGCAGGAGACTTCTGCCTGGATATCCAGGTGTTTTCATACATCCTCTGAAATCTAGGCAGAGACTCCCAAAGCTCAACTCTTGTTTTCTGTGCACCTGCAGGCCCAACACCACATGGAAACCACCAAGGCTTGGGGCTTGCACCCTCTGAAGCAATGACCCAAGTTGTACCTTGGCCTCTTTTAGCCGTGGCTGAAGCCGGAGAAGCTGGGATGCAGGGCACCAAGTCCCAAGGCTGCACAGAGCAGCAGGGCCCTGGGCCCAATTAAGCCATTTTTCCCTCCTATAACTCCATGCCTGTAATGGAAGAGGCTACTGTGAAGGTCTCTGACATTACCTGGACACATTTTCCTCATTGTCTTGGCTATTAACATTCAGTTCCTTGTCACTTATGCAAATTTCTGCAGCCAGCTTGAATTCTTCCCCAGAAAAAAAAAAATTTTTTCTAACACATGATCAGGTTGCAAATTTTCCAAACCTGTATGCTCTGCTTCCCTTTTAAACATAAGCTCCAATTCCAAACCATCTCTGTGTGATCGCATATAACTGAACACTTTCAGAATAAGCCAGGTCAGCTCTTGAATGCTTTGCTGCTTAGAAATTTCTTCTGCCAGATACCCTAAACCATCTCTCTCAGTTCAAAGTTCCACAAATCTCTAGGGCAGGGGCAAAATGCCACGTCTCTTTGCTAATGCACAGCATGAGTGACCTTTACTCCAGTTCCCAATAAGTTCCTCCTCTCCACCTGAGACCACCTCAGCCTGGACTTTATTGTCCATATAACTATGAGCATTTTTGTCAAAATCATTCAACAAGTCCCTAGGAAGTTTCACACTTTCCAACATCTTCCTGTCTTCTCCTGAGCCTTTCAAACTGTTCTGACCACTACATGTTACCCAGTTCCAAAGTTGCTTCCACATTTTCAGGTTGTCTTTGTAGCTGTACCCCACTTCTGGTACCAATTCTCTGTATTAGTTCATTCTCACACTGCTACAAAGATAATACCTGAGACAGAGTAATTTGTAAACAAAAGAGATTTAATTGACTCACTTTCCTGAGGGGAGGCCTTAGGAAAGTTACAATCATGGAGGAAAGCAAAGGGGAACCAAGGCATGTCTTACCTGGTGGCAGGAGAGAGAGAGAGTACACAGGGGAAAATGCCACATTTAAACCATCAGATCTCTGGAAAATTTCCTCACTATCACAAGAACAGCATGGAGGAAGCTGCCCCCATGATCCAATCACCTCCCTCCAGGCCCCATCATCTTTAATTGTGGGGATTATAATTGGAGATAATGAGATTTTGGTGGGGACACAGAGCCAAATGATATTACCCTCCCTGCCCTGTACCCTTCCCTGACTCTGGTATCCTCTGTTCTACTTTTTACTTCTATGAGATCAACTTTTTCCAACTTGCATATATGAATGAGAAAATGTGTTGTTTACCTCCAGTTTCATTCATGTTGCTAAAAATGACAGAATTGGATTATTTTTCTATGACTGAATAATATCCCATTGTATATACATGCCATGTTTTCTGTATTATTTGTTGAATAACTAAGGTGATTTCATATCTGTTGTGAACAGTGCTGCAATAAACATAGAGGTGCAGATGTCTCTTCAATATACTGATTTCCTTTCATTTGGATAAATCCCAGTAGTGCAATTGCTGGATCATATGGTGGCTCCATTCGCAGTTTTTGAGGAACGTCCATATTATTCTCTGGAGTGGTTGTACTAGTTTACATTCCCACAAACAATTGCATAAAGGTTCCCTTTTTTCCTCATCCTCACTAATATCTGGGGTTTTTTTGTTTGTTTTGTTTTGTTTTTTGTTTTTGTTTTTGAGACTGAGTCTCGCTCTGTCACCCAGGCTGGAGTGTGGTTGCCCAATCTCGGCTCATGGCAATGTCTGCCTCCAGGGTTCAAGCAATTCTCCTGCCTCAGCCTCCCAGGTAACTAGGATTACAGGCACATACCACCAGCCTGGCTAATTTTTGTATTTTTAGTAGAGACAGGGTTTCACCATGTTGGCAAGGCTGGTCTCGAACTCCTGAACTCAAGTGATCTGCCAATCTCAGCCTCCCAAAGTGCTGGGATTACAGGCATGAGCCATCATGCCCAATCTGTTTTGTCTTTTCTATAATAACCATCCTAACTGGGGTGAGATGATACCTCATTGTGGTTTTGATTTGCATTTCCCTGATGATTAGTCATGAGCATTTTTTCCCATATTTGTTAGCCGTTTGTAAGTGTTCTTCTAGTGAATGTCTATGCAAGTCATTTGACTATTTTTTAATTGGATAGTTTTATTTTTTGCTGTTGAGATGTTTTGATTATTTGTATATTCTGGATCTGAATCCACTGCTGGATGGGTAGTTTGCAAATATTTTCTACCATTACGTGGGTTGTCTTTTCCCTCTGTTTCCTTTGTTGTGAAGAAGCTTTTTAGTTTGATATTATCTCATTTGTTTTTTATTTTGTTGTCTGTGCTTTTGAGGTCTGACTCCTAAAATCTTTTTCCAGAACAATGTCCTAAAGCATTTCCCATGTTTTCTTCTAGTAGTTTTATAGTTTCAGGTCTTACAGTTAGGTCTTTGATCCAAATTGAATTGAATTTTGTATAGGGTAAGAGGTAGGAGTCTAGGTTTATTCTTCTGCGTATGGATATCCAGTTTTTGCAGCTGCATTTATTCACAGCTGTCCTTTCCCCTGTGAGTGTTCTTGACGCCTTTTTAAAAAGTCAGTTGGCTGTAGATATATAAATTAATTTCTGGGTTTTCTACCCTGCCCCATGGGTCTACATATCTCTTTTTGTGCCAGTATCACATTCTTTTGATTACTACACCTTTGTAATAAGTCTTGAGGTTGGTAGTGTAATAACTCAAGATTTGTTCTTTCTGCTTAGGATTACATTGGCTATTTGGAGTCTTTTGTGGATCCATACAACTTACTTACTTACTTATTTATTTGTTTATTTATTTTTGAGGCAGGGTCTCACTCTGTAACCTAGCCTGAAGTGCAGTGGCGTGATTTTGGCTCACTGCAATCTTTGCCTCCTGGGCTCAATGTGATTCTCCCGCCTCAGCCACCTGAGTAGCTAGCATTACAGGTGTGTACCACTGCGCTCAGCTAATTTTTTTATTTTTTGTACAGACAGGGTTTTGCCATGTTGCTCAGGCTGGTCTCAAACTCCTGGACTCAAATGATCCATTTGCTTTGGCCTCCCAAAGTGCTGGGATTACAGGCATGAGTCACCACACCCAGCTCCATATGAACTTGAGGATTTTTTTCCTATTTCTGTGAAGAATGTCATTGGTATTTTGATACGGATTGCATTGAATCTCTAGATTACTTTGGGTAGTACTGTCATTTAACAATATTAATTCTTCCAATCTATAAACATGAAATGTCTTTTGTTTGTATCCTCTTCAATTTCTTTCAGCCCTGTTTTGTAGTTTTCTTTATAGTTGTTTTCACCTCTTTGCTTAAAATTATGTATAGATATTTTATTTTTTATAGCTATTGTAAATGAGGTTTCCTTCTTGATTTTTCAGCTGCTTTGTTGTTCATGTATAGCAATGCTACTAATTTTTGTATGTTAATTTTAGATCTTGCAAATTTACTGAATTCTTTTGTCAGTTCGAAGAGTTTTTGGTTGAGTCTTTAGGTTTTCCTATATATAAGATTATGTCATCTGCAAAGAGGGATGATGTGGCATCCTCCTTTCCAACTTGAATGTCCTTTATTTCTCTCCCTCATAATTGCTCTGACTAGGACTTCCAGAACTATGTTGAATAAAAATCGTGAAAGTGGGCATCCTTATCTTTTCCCAGTTTTGTTTTGTTTTTTGCTTTCTGGTAATTTTTTGTTTTTTGTTTTTTGTTTTTGTTTTTGTTTTTGTTTTTCCGAGACAGGGTCTTAGTCTCTCATATGGGATGGAGTGCAGTGGCATGATCATAGCTCACAAAGCTTCAAATTCTGAGCTCACGTGGTCCTCCAACCTCAACCTCCCAGGTAACTGGGACTACAGGAGCATGTCACAATGCCAGACCAAGTTTTTTAAAAAATATTTTTGTAGAGATGATGTCTCATCACTTTGTTGCCCGGGCTGGTCTTGACTCCAGGCTTCAAGTGATCCTTCCATTTCAGCTTCCCGAAGTGCTGCAATTACAAGCATTAGCCACCATGCCTGGCTTTGTTTCTGTTCCTAGAGGTAAAGCTTTCAACTTTTTCTCATTCAGTAGGATGTTAGCTGTGGGTTTTTCATATAGTGAGTACTGTCACAAAAATGTTCAAAACCATGATAGGAAACAAAGGGCATAAGAAACATCAGTGCTCTCTATTTACAATAGCAAAAACTTGGAACCAACTCAAATGCCCATCAATGATAGACTGGATAAAGAAAATGTGGCACATATATACCATGGAACACTATGCAGCCATAAAAAAGAATGAGTTCATGTGCTTTGCAGAGACATGGATAAAGCTAGAAGCCATCATTCTCAGCAAACTAACACAGTAACAGAAAACCAAACACTGCATGTTCTCACTCATAAGTGGGAGTTGAACAATGAGAACACATAGACACAGGAAGGGGAACATCACACAACGGGGCCTGTTGGGAGGTGGGAGGGAAGGGGAGGGAGAGCATTAGGACTAATACCTAATGCATGCAAGGGTTAAAACCTAAAATGACAGGTTGATAGGTGCAGCAAACCACCATGGCACATGTATACCTATGTAACAAACCTGCACGTTCTGCACATGTACCCTAGAACTTAAAGTAAAATTTTAAAAGAAGGAAAAAGAAAAGAAACATCAGTGCTCCCTGGGAATATGATTACAGAGAATGTTTGGATAAAGGTGTTATGGCAGGGTGGGAAGTTATCACAACCTCAGGTAATGAATAAATCAGAAAAGCAACTGCCAGTAATTGCTGTCAATAATGCATCTCCAGGGACCAGGTAACAAGCCCATTAGGATATTGCCTCCATTTGCATGCCAGCAGCACTCACTCTTGCTTGCCTCTCCAAATCTATCTTCCCCCTCCTTTGCTGGCAGAGCATAAGGTTTGCTCTAATATTCATCCTTCTCCATGTGGTCCAGGGAAGATGGGTGGATGTGAAGATGCACCTCCCAGATTATTCTTCAAGGGAAAACTTTGTCCTTCAACTGTTGCATTGCTGTCAGCAAACAGCCTTCAGCTGTCAGCCTTTTTGAGAGTTTCCTCAACTTAGAGAATCACATCACCAAGGTCACACCCTTCCAGGGGCAATTCACACTTAATGACTGGTCACAGTGGGAATAGGAAGGCCTTGTCACTTTGGCCCAAATGTGAGCCCACTCTGCTGACCCATTTCCATTCCAGAGCTCCCATGAGGGTTGGGCTGAGGGTGTCAAACATGCATTACAGGTGTCCTTTCCAATTCTACTTTACCTCCCACCATCCCTAGGGTGCTAACAAAAATCCTAAAACCTAAACTGTGTTTTAATTATCTTCCTGAAGAGCCCAAACTACACTAGGGGGTGGAACTTGACTACTGAGCAATCACAGGGAAACACTATCACTTTACCAAAGATTGCCTCAGGAAGGCATATTTATGGCCCAATTCTGGCCGATGGAACATGAGCAGAAGTTCACTTGTAATCAGACAGGAACTTATGGGGAAAGAGCTGGTTCCTTTTATGTCTCTTGATTCTGGTGTGACAGAATGGGACACCTGGAGCTGTTGTTGTCAACTTACGGGCATAAGGAAGTTAGCCAGCAACACAAGGATGGCAGAGCAGGAAGATAGAAAGAACACAGGCCTTTGATGATGTTACTGAACCATCATGTAAGCCTTTTAAAGTTACATTTCTGATATCTCCAAAAGTATCCTAACCAAATGGAAAGGGTAAAAATAGCACTATTAATAATAATAATAATATACCTCTACTGCAACACTGATAAGCACACAGATTATTCTTCAGCTTTTTAAACATTCAGATAGCTTCCCTGATAAAAACCCTGGCACTTGGGCCTCAGCTCTTCAAAGTCCAGATCCCAGAAGCAAAGGTCCAGAGAGCACAGGCTTTTCTGCCAACCTGAGTGCCCCACTTCCTGTCTGAGGGAGCTCTTTGGTTGAATCCAAGAATGTTTGTCCTCCTTTCCAAGACAGATACCTCTGAACACAAGAGTGCCTTTAATGCATGGTTTACAATTTTATCACCTCATCTCAATGCAATGTTAAATAAGAGAGATGTACTTATAATTGGGAAGAGCAGGACAATATCTAGTAATGCAGAGTCTCCAATCAGCCAGCAGCAAGGCTAATTGGGTAACTAGTTACTTGAGACACTTACTTCCCTGTTTCTCATGTTCCCCTAAGCAGAAACTGGACTGATAATAGTCTTTTGGGCCAATTAACCACACATGTATTCTGTTGGCCAGGGCAGCATTTTAAATTTTGATTCAGAATATCTTTAACTTAAGCATGCACACTCCAGTTCTTCAGGGCCCTACCACTCTTGATTGTCTTTTAGCAAGCTCATATTTTTCTGTCTTGGTGGCATTAACATTTGAAAGCTCCTGCAGTATGAGGCTCAATGGTAGATGGTTTAAGGAAAGGCCAGTTAAACTGTTAGGGCAGCACACCTGCTACCCCAGTTAACACATTTAATGAAAAGCAAGCTGAACTATTTTTCATGCTCTTCCAGGCCTGTCATCCAGGATGCCTACCAGAAAAATATGTAATTATGATTGCTCTCTTATAAGATACCAACATTCACAGAATCTTTTCTGTGTGATCCACATAACCACAGCATACGTTCATCTGTTTTACAATTTATTTGTTTAATTTGAGGTAAATTCTTTCTGCATAAATTAATGGATGAAGTACAGTTGACTCTTGGACAATGCAGGGGTTAAGGGCACCAATGGGCACAGTCAAAAATCCACGTGTAAATTTTTAACTTTTCCCCAAAAACATACCTAATTGCCTGCTGTCGGTCAACTGACACATATTTTGTATATGGCATGTATTATATACTGCATTCTTTTTTTTTTCTGATGGTTAGTTTTTTTTTTTAATTATGCTTTAAGTTCTAGGGTACATGTGCACAACGTGTAGGTTTGTTACATATGTATACATATGCCATGTTGGTGTGCTGCACCCATTAACTCATCATTTACATTAGGTGTATCTCCTAATGCTTTCCCTCCCCTCTCCCCCCAGCCCATGACAGGCTCCGGTGTGTGATGTTCCCCTTCCTGTGTCCAAGTGTTCTCATTGTTCAATTCCCACCTATGAGTGAGAACATGCGGTGTTTGATTTTTTGTCCTTGCGATAGTTTGCTGAGAATGATGGTTTCCAGCTTCATCCCTGTCCCTACAAAGGACATGAACTCATCATTTTTTATGGCTGCATAGTATTCCACGGTGTATATGTGCCACATTTTCTTAATCCAGTCTATCATTGTTGGACATTTGGGTTGGTTCCAAGTCTTTGCTATTGTGAATAGTGCAGCAATAAACACACGTGGGCATGTATCTTTATAGCAGCATGATTTATAATCCTTTGGGTATATACCCAGTAATGGGATGGCTGGGTCAAATGGTATTTCTAGTTCTAGATCCTTGAGGAATCACCACACTGTCTTCCACAACGGTTGAACTAGTTTACAGTCCCACCAACAGTGTAAAAGTGTTCCTATTTCTCCACATCCTCTCCAGCACCTGTTGTTTCCTGACTTTTTAATGATCGCCATTCTAACTGGTGTGAGATGATATCTCATTGTGGTTTTGATTTGCATTTCTCTGATGGCCAGTGATGATGAGCATTTTTTCATGTGTCTTTTGGCTGCATAAATGTCTTCTTTTGAGAAGCGTCTGTTCATATCCTTCACCCATATTGTGATGCGGTTATTTTTTTCTTGTAAATTTGTTTGAGTTCTTTGTAGATTCTGGATATTAGCCCTTTGTCAGATGAGTAGATTGTAAAAATTTTCGCCCATTCTGTAGGTTGCCTGTTCACTCTGACGGTAGTTTCTTTTGCTGTGCAGAAGCTCTTTAGTTTAATTAGATCCCATTTGTCAATTTTGTCTTTTGTTGCCATTGCTTTTGGTGTTTTAGACATGAAGTCCTTGACCATGCCTATGTCTAGAGAGAAGAAAATGTTATCAAGAAAACAATAAGGAAGAGACAATATACTATTCATTAAGTGGCAGTGGAACATCATAAGTTCTTCATCCTCATGTTCACATTGAGTAGGTTGAAGAGGAGGAAGAGAAGGGATTGGTCTTGTTGTCTCAGGGTTGGCAGGAGCGAAATAAAGTTTGTCTTTAAGTAGACCCAGACAGTTCAAACCCATGCTGTCCAGGGTCAACTATACTTACAAATCCTGACACAAAAGTACTTAATGTTCCTTTTCAGCTTAGCAATGTACAAACAAAGGGAAAACACTGAGAGCTGAGTTATTCTGAAATTGGTCACACAGAATTTCCAACTTCTTGTCAGAGGATTCTAAGCAATAGATTATGCAAACAATGCATATATTTACATAAATTTGGGAACATTTTTGTAGCTTCCTACAGTTAAAATATAGTGAGCCATAACAAGCCTCTATTCAACACTAAGATAAGTTCTATAATTTAAGTCCCTATTTGCAATAACTTCAGAGAATAGCATAGACATCAAAACATCCAATATTTATTGGCAGCAGAGATTCCATTATTCATTTATTCAGAGATTTTTAGTGGCAAACAAAAGAAACTGTTGTAGCATGTTGAAACAAGAAAACAGACATAAGTGTCTGAACCTCTGGGAAAGCCCCAGAAGCCGTCTTGAAGGCCATTCTTTCAGGAACAAACCTCCAAAATACAACACATGACTGTGCCAGCACTAGTGCTACAATGAGGCACAACGCCACAGCTTGTACTGATGACTCCAGACACCAAAGACAGCTCCTGGAATCTCCTGGACTGTGGCTCTGGAAGACTAGCTGTCACTGCCACTCACTGAGCAGAATGGTTTCTGCACAGCACCTGCCTCGTCACCTGCCCAGCTCACAAAGCAAGTCTGCACAGAGGCTTTACATCCAATTGGCTGAGCCCAGGTCACATGCTTGCAACTGGCTTCAAGGTATGGTGGCTGGGAAAGTAAGTTTCTGGGTTCTGCCACTGTGACAGATGGGCTCATAAAATGAATTCCCCATACACAAGAAAACTGTACAAAGGTATACTTTTTTTTTTTGCTGAAGACTCCAAATAAGTGACTAATTCCCACAACAAGCAACAAGGCACTAGGTACAATGCGAGGAAATGGTAAGAAAAAAATTAAAATGGCATGCTAAGGAACACATTCTTATGGAATTTGCTAGGAAGAACAAGACAGAAGTTAAGAAAATAATCGTATCAATAAATCTATAATTATGAACTGCATGTGTAATCCAAAGGAGTGAGATCCGGTTCTCTGAGAGCTTACATCAATGGGAAGTGACATAAATTGGGGATCCAGAAAACTTGAGGCAATGATGTCAGTCCTGAGATCCAAGGAAAAAATAAGAGTTACATTGGTGAAAAGGACTGAAGAACTTTCCAGTCAGCAGAAACACATAAGCACAGGGCCTCTGGTGAGAGAGTAAGTTTGAGGAGGTAGAAGGACCTAGGTTTGTCTGCTCTAGATGAAGGTCAGGGAGCTGGGAGGTGGGAGGAGTTAGTAAACTAAGGTTCAAAAAGTGTATGGAACTAGATCAGAGACTATCCATGTCTTTATTCTGACAGCAAATGTGGGATATGCAGGATAACTCTGATTAATCTCTTTTGATTTTTTATGAGATCACTCTGCTGTGTACCAAATGAGCACTGGGACACAGTGGACACTGTGGTTCAGGTGAGAGGTGACAGTGAAGAAAGCTCACAGACCACTTTGCAGTAGATTCTTGTTGCTTTCTTCAGCACATGAGTTCTATTTTAATCGATTTTCTCACATATCTGTTATTTTGCAAAATTAAGCTACATACATGCCTAAAATTTTTCTGATTTTGAGAAGTTTAATCCCATAAATGTTTCTTTTGGGGACACTGCATCTAAAATGGCACTGCAGAGTATTTGCAACTCATAGCCTAATGCATTTGGACAAGTTGAAGCTCTCCTCGAAATTCAAAATTTATTATAAAAATGTATCATAGTTTCCAAACAGTGGATGACCAGGGAATTACATGATTTATCATTGCTTTTCAGACTTCCACTAGAAAATTGTCTTTCTCTGGTTGTCATATCTACTGACTCTTTACCAATTAATTCTTGGTTAGTTTCTGCATAAATAGCAACAGAAAGCTCTATGAGAATTGCATTAATTTTTTTCCTTGAAATTCAATTATGACAGAAGGTTTCTTTTTGTTAAAGCAGCCTGAAGCATTGGATCTTAAGAGTAAAGTTTGGAGCCAGAAAACCTGATTTTAAATACTACTTCAGTCACTCCCCAGATATGACATTTGAAAGTTATTTAGTCTCCCTGGGCCTTTGTTTCCTCAACTGCAAAAGAAGCATGATAGGGCCTCCAGTTGGGTTGTGAAGATGAAATAAGAGGATGTTTCATCAAAGTGATTTGCAAACCGGAAAACTACAGAAGCATGAGTTGTTAGTAAACATGAAGATGGTTTACCAAATAAGTAGGAAAGAAATGCAAAAACATCAAGGTGCTTGAAAACAAAGACAATTTCTAAAATTTGTGTAGCATAACAACATGCACAAAAGCAGAGATCAGAACTGTTTTGATTGTGCTTGTGTTCCTTCTTTCTTGGAATTTCTCTTGCTGGTCTCTGACCTCGAAGCATATGAAAACCCTGAACTGGCCCGCGGCAGCGTCCCAGATCAGCCATACTCCAGATGGCAATCATAGTGGTAAATTTAAACAGAGGCAAGGATTAAGCAAGGTACACCTCTTCAATAGCTATGAACACTTAGGTTCTTCCAGCACACTTAGATTTTGTTTTATTTTATTATTTTATTTTATTTGTTCATCAGTTACACAAGGATAAATTATAACAGTAATACTCCTCAGTTGGAGGCAATTTATCATTATCGATCCATATGAGGCTCTCTAGTTTTAATCTTAATTTATTCCATTTTATTCCCATTTCCAAAGTAACCATTCTGTTGTATTTATTCCTTGTAAGCACCGTAAAGTGCATACAAATGTGATTCGTGATTTTGTTGGCATTTATTTTAAAGTTCGAAAGTCCTTAAAGATCTCATTCAGTTTCTTACTTTTTTGGACTAGGCACTATCTTTTAAAGATCCAGCCTTATTTCTATGTTTATATCACATGTGTTCCTTCCAATTGCTGCATAATGCCCCATGGTATGTATTCTCCAAGTCTTGCCTATCTACTCCACCAAAACTGCCACCAACTATAAACAACACTGCAAGAAATATCTTTATGTATTTCATGCTATGAACATGTCTGAAAATGTCTTTGGGATAAATATTCAGGAGAGGTATTGCTGGGTCACAGCATATATATATGTTTAATTTGCCTGCATCATGCCAGACTGTTCAGAACAGCTACACCAGTCTACCTCCACATGAAACTTCCTGCATGGCATCTTCCCTGACAACACTCAGCATTATCCAGCTTTCTAGCCTTTGCAACTTAATATTTTTAATTTAACCTGCATTTCTTTGATTATTATCTTCAGCATGCCTGTAAGTACGTGTTGGTTGTGAGAGTTTTTCTGCAAATTCCTTGTTCGTATTCTTTACCTATTTTCCTACCACAGTGACTGACATTGATTTAGAGAAGGTTCTTAGTTATTATTAATCCCTTGCCACTTTTAGATATTGCAAATACCTTCTCCCATTCAGTTGTCTATTAATTTGGTCGATGGTATCTTCATTGAATGGAAAGGCTAAATTTTCATATAATAATATTTCTCAATCTATTGCTTTGTGGTTATTTTTGAACTTTTTTGAAGTGTTTCTCTATTTCTATAGCATAAACATTATCTCATACATTCTCTTCTATTAGCTTTATAATTTTTCTTTTCCTACTTATATCTTTAATCTATCTGGAAGCCACCTTTTGTGTGCAACTACATAAAAATCCAATTTCATTTCTCTCCATACAGTGAACCAATTTTCAAAAAAAAACTTCAACTAAATTTCCATTTATTTGTGGTAATTTTTTAAGGTTTATTACATTTTGACATATAAACGAATCTCTGAGTGCATTATTTTCTTCCACTTTTATCTACTTATCTGATCTTGCAACAATAGTGCATTGTTTTTATTACTTCGGCCTCGTAGTATGTTTAATATTTGACACAGCAAGCTCTCCCTCTTTATGACTTCCCATGAGGAATAGATAGCATGGAATTTTATTTTTCTCTACAAATTTTACTGCAAGTTTAATGAATTTCTCAAAAATGACAAATTGTGATCAATACTTTATTGCATTTATATACTGAATTGAAGAAAATGTATATCTTATAAAGTCAACTCATTAAAGAGCATGAAATGTCACTCTTTTTATTTAAGTCATCTCTTACGTTTTTTACTAAAATTTCAAAGTAAGTCAGGAAAATTATTTAAAACTTGAAAATGATGCAAAAAGATGGGTGACACATCCTTTAAATATTACATGGGGACAAAGGGTACACAAGGTTTACCATGGGATATACTTAGTTCATCTCATTGTTTACTATTAACAAATGGTCCCAAACTTACTGAAATTATCTGAAACTTTTAGAATTTTGTCCACTGGATTCAAATAGCTATGTGTCTGATGGAAAGATAACCAGATTTATGATCTGTTGGACATTAGTTTATAACTAATAACAATCTCATCTTAATTATTCTCTGTTTAATTGCCCATAAATCCCTGCCTTCTTAAGTGCTCTTCAAATTGATCATGACATCTTACTGATTCTCTCATTAATTAATGAGTTTTAAAGTATCAACATATGTTCAATTTACATTTACATGGAAGATTATTTTACCTGTTTGAAAATGATAATTTAGCAAGTTTTTTCATAAAGCTCTTAGAAATTCTAGGTTGCTTTAAGTCCTGAGTACTATATAATTTCATTGCAATTATAAATGAGATATTACTTTTCTGGAGTTTTCTATTGATTGTTGTTGGTGTAGAGAAATGTTATTAATTTTGGTAAGTTACTGTTCTATGCAATAACTTTGTTAAACTCATATTGGTTCTGATAGTTTGTCTCTGGATTTTATTAGTTCTTTTAGGTAGAAAACCATAATATCAGCAATTAATGAACAATTATATGCTCTACACGAATAAGTCTGAAAAGTTGTATAAAGTGGACAAATTCCTTTAAAAAATTATCAAATTCCAAAATTAACACTAATTTCACAAATACTTCTTTGGAGTTCAATCCTAGTTTCAGCTTCTCATTCTTAATAAAAATGTGTATTTATAGTGTGCTTTCACATGAATTACCTCACTAGATATCAACTGAAACCCTATGAGGTAAGTGTTACACCAATTATAAATTGAAGAAAATAAATATATAAAGCACCGGTGAGAGCACTGTGCCAAGTCACAACACTGGCTGGAGTGCAGCCTTGTCAAAAACACAGCTCCTGTGTCTTGAAATTGGTGCAGTTTTTCCTATGTTACACTTTTTGACTTCAGAGGCAGGAAAAGTTCAGAAGAAAACATCACTTGCCTGGGACTTGAAGTTCTGTTATCATTAAATACTGCTGCTTTTCTGCTATTTTTTGAACTTCTATCTTATTTTTTTGTTCACTCAATATTCTTACTGGTTTGGAGCCACATAAGCAAATATCAGAAAGAGAATTATACTGGATGAGTAGGATGAAACTCTTTAGCATAAATAACTGAATTTGGTAAGGATTCTCCTAGTTAAGTCAAAATCTTAAACATTGCACTTGACAATATAATATTTGAATTCAAGGTGATTATAGCATCTTTTCCTGATGATTGTGAAAACCAGTTGTTTTGTGAAGATTTTATTTGTTCTTCCTTTAACAACATGTAGCAAAACCATAAAAAGCTTTATTTTTAAAAATTAACAATCTTTCTTTATCCCTACCCATCTCCAAGATAATAAATGTTAACATGTTGGTATGTGTTTTCACACATTTTCCCAGCACATTCAAAGACACACACACACACACACACACACACACACACATATATAGGTTGTATTGTTGTTGCTGTTGCTATTTGTTGTAACAAAAATTTGATCATGTTATATGCAACTAATTTTTATATTTCTATTGATAAATGTCAATTATAACTTAAAGAAAGGATCAGTAAATTATGGCCCATGGGCCAAATATGGCCTGCCTCCTGTTTTTGTAAATGAAGTTTTATTGAAACACAATCATACTCATTCATTTACATGATTTCACACTGCAATAGTAGAGGTAAGTTCCCACTGAGGCTATGTGACCTGAAAAGCTTAAAATATATGCTATCTGTTCATTTACAGAAAAGGTTTGTTTTGACCCTTAATTGGGAGTTTTTTGCCACTATCACATGACACAATAAAACTAGTTGAACATATATCCTTATTTTCTAGTGCTTTTACTTTTATACTATTTTACTTCTGTATTACCTATTAGATAGCTATCAGAAGATGATATTTGAGGTTAATGGTTTGTATATTTTATAGTTTAACATAGAATTCCATACTTCTTTCTGAAAATATTTTAGCAATTTGAATTGTCACCAGCAATTTTATGTGAGTGTTCATTTTCCCATATCTTCATCACCATTGGATACCATCATTATATATTTTTTCCCAATTAGGTGAGCAAAAACATGGCATCATATTGTTCATTCTACATTTCCCTGACAGTCAGCAAAGATAGCTCTCACATCTGAAAGATATTTTCCTTTTTTCAAATGTGTTGCAAGTTCTTTTCCAGTTTACTGTTTGCTTTTTGACTTGATTTTTCATGTCTTTTGCTGTACATTTCTCTTTAATATGATTGTTTTGAGTAAACTGCAGTTAAAATCTGGAGCAGAAATTTTGTGTGTCCCCCTACCCATCCCTTCAGGTTGTTTTCTCCTCTAGCAAGTCCATAAAAAATCAAATTGATTATAACAAAGAACTGTTCGTCAGCTAACAAGGTAACCGTATTCACACAGGGTTTTGGTTTTGTCACCCTTGGATGCATAAAGGAAGACCAATTTGTTATTGGAGAAAAGCAGGGAAAGCAAAATGGTACGATGATGCATCATTACAGGTCTTGTTTCCTCTTTAGACTCTGGAGGACACACCTAGGTTCCTACAGCTGACTTAAGCAGCTTTTAGAATCTGCTTGGGGTAAAATTGCCAAATGGAGGAAATAAATATACAAGCTTCCCAGTTAAATTTCAAATTCAGATAAACAATGAACACTATTTTAGTATAAGCAAGCCCCATGCAATATTGTGGGCCTTCTTATAGTAAAAAAGCATCCATTGTTATCTGAAATTCAGATTTGACTGAGCATCCTATATTTTATCTGGCACTCCTAGCTTGTAGAGACTGCTCATTTACTAAGAGCCAAGTGGCCTCATTCACAGGAAATGTTTAGTGTTAACCTATACCTATTTCAAAAGGGGTCAAATCTATACCATATCTCCTATTGATGAACATTATTCCAAAAGATTGATAGATGTTGCCTCAAAAGATGTAAAAGAATTAATACTTTTATTTCAAATGTCTTTTACAACCTATATAATTGGAATGCTTCAATTATTTAATTCTTCAAACAGAAAATTCAGCCCAGTAGAATGTTCTAAAGAGGCACTCTCCTAAATTAACTAAACTTAAACTAACCCCACTAATACATGATTCCAGTAATCACTTTTAAATAATTTCTTTACAATTATCAAACCTGCTAATGAAGATTCAATATCACCTCTTGAAGGAACCATCACAAAGATTCCTGTCTAGAGCACATAAGTCAAACTGGAAACTTTCAATATCACCTCAGAACAGTTTACAATCATGTCTATCTTCTCCTTGGGCCTTGGGATTTCCTCTCTTATTTAGGAAGTTTTTCTCTATACCTCCCAATTAATGTTGTTTAATTTTATACATTTAAATATCAATAGAAGTTTAACTTATTATAAATTATATCCACTCTAAGTGATTATCACAACAGAATGTAATTTTTGGAAAGTATTTTGCCTCTAATTACAATTTATTGCCTAATTGCAATGTACCAGATACTGGAGATATATATTCATATGTATATATGTAGCATTTTATATAGTATGTCTATAATATATATTCTAGTCTTTACAGCAACCCTGAAAGATGGTTATTATGAACCCCTTAAGACAGATACGGAAGTTGAGGCTCAGAGTCATTAAGTAGATCATTCAAGGTCACCCAGTGGTAACTGGCAAAGCTGATCAAGGTCATCTAAAGTCCATGCTCTGATATTGCCTCCTTACTTCCTCAAACAATCCCCTGCGGCAGGTATCATTTTTAGTTAACCTCAATCTCATTTCTAACCCTTCCTTCCCTTGCCCTACTCCATGGAAGAGGCTGGGAAAGCTAAACATTCCCTTTCCAACCTCCATGGCAGTGAAAGAAGTCATGTGACACAGTTCTGGCTAGAGATGTATAAGCAGAAGTCCACTGGAACGTCTGGAAAATCCTCTATTCTCTTTTCACGCTCAAAAGGACCAACATGACTTACTGCTCTTGCCCTCCTCTTCCTCCCAAAATCATAGATTCAACAATGGTAGATGTAGTCCCTACCTTGTGACTATGAAGAATAGGAAAGACAATCTACAGAGATGCTTCCCAACCCTAAAGTTGTTGATTCCACAAACCAAGAAGAGCACTACCTACCTCTAAGCATCCTGTTAGGTAAAGGTAAACTACTTGTTTAGCTACTATTTGGCAAGGTGTGAATTCTCTTTCCATACTAATTATTTGGGTGTTAGTAATTCTCGATAGATTCAAATTCAACCAACATATATTAGATGCTTAATATTTCCAGACTCATTGATAGATATCATTATAATTTCACCCTTACAAGACCCCCACATGGTGGAAATTAACTATTTCACAAACCTGTAATTTAGATAAGCCCAGAAGTTTGTGCAAAGGCTACACATGTCTGGTGGCAAAGTCAGGATACAAACCCATGTCCTCTGAATCTTAATTTTAGGGTCCTCTATTGTAAGCATCTGGAAATACTCAAATAATATTGAGATAACAGTTTGGTTTCATTTTTAAAGTATGCATTCAAGAGAATTTTTCTAGTTTTCAGAGATAAATATCCTAAAACTCATATTAAATTCATGGTGTACATTAAAATGTCTTGTGGGTTTTCATTTTTATGTAGAGCAAGCTGTGGTCTCTACCATAGAAAAATGATTTGCTGTAAAATAAAGACTGAAATTCAAGAAGCATTTTTGCAAGCAAACAAGAAATTATACAAAAATGCTATGTAATAAATGTCAACAAACACATAACATCATGGTAATAGTTTCATCTCACATGGGCCAAGTATGGAATATGTAATGCTGGAGAATTCTCTTACAAATGTTTTACCCTAAATTTATAACACTACACGGGGTGGCAATCCCTCTACATACGGGGAGTCTTCCAGCAAAGGAAAAGAAAAATAAGTTGTCATCTTTAAAAAAAAGTACTACAGAAACAGAAACTACAGAAAAAGATTTGGCACAGGGCCGTATGATAACAAGTTGTGAAAAGCCTTTACAAAGTCAAAGAGAGCTGGATAACTACTCATTTGCCCATAGTCTTAATAGGATAAATTCCTTCAGGCTCTTAAAAGATAATGAGGACACCAATTATTTTCTTGGGGCATGGGAGTATGACAAAGAATTACTGCTGTTTTCAGATGAAATAACGACAAGCTGAACAACTCAGAAATGTCATCCTCAAGCAGTTGCTCTTATTTGAGCAGAGATGTTAATCACAGGTGAGTCTCACCAGTGTCTCTCCAATCATAGAAGTCAGGGTTCGTTTGCAGTTCAAGCATGATGCTCTCAAATCAAATCTGATATTAATGAGATATCACAATAAGGAGTTTGCAGCAACCATAAATCTTTTGATTTCCCAGTCAGTTGTCTATATATCCTTGTAGGCAGAGAGCACATATTTACTATGTTTTCCGGGCAAAGTAATTCAGATAGATGCCAGTGGTAGAAGAAGATAACGTTGATTAATGAACACAGGTTGTTATGCAGTAGCTCTTTTGACATAATAATAATTGCTCCTTATTTTATACATTAAGAATAATTGCCAGATACAAACAAAAGTATTGCATTCTGTTGACATCTATTAAACTTTCAGAGAAAGTAACATAGATATTTTGATGGTATCAGCACTCCTCTGCAGTTCATTTGTCATTATTTCTGTTGCTGCTTATCTTAGGCTTTTAACCTTAATTTTTTATTTTTTAATCTGTAAAAAAAAAAACTTGAAAGAACAGAACAATAAACACCTTTTAATGAGGAGGGTACTTCAAGGTGGCTGACTAAAAATACTTCATGCCCACCCCCTGCACTTAGAAGAACCAAAATAGTGTATAGACAGTCACACTTTGAATACATTATCCAAGGGGAAACACTGGAATTCAGCAGAGAAATAACAGAAAGCACCAAACACAGGGAATAAAAACGGAGAGAGGCAGCCTGCCTGGCCAGGATTGGCTGGGAGCTGGGAAAGGGTAGGTGACAGAGTTCCAGTGGCCCACATCCTCACTGTAGAATTGTGCAAACCTAGCCACGAGAGAACCTCTCAACCTTCCGAACCCCTGAAATTAACATATGGAGCTGCCAGGAGAACACGGGATGGAACTACTCCAGGGAGGGAGCTCACACTGGGACTGGGTCCTCACACCCTTTCTGATATCTAACTGGCTATAGTAAGGAGCCATTTTCAAACCTAGCCTTTGGCAGACTGCATGCTGTCCTAGGACCCAGTAGTGCCAGATCCGAGGCATTAGGGAAACTTGGGCTGTCACTGCTAGAACTGAGGAGTGAGCTGGGAATGCTGCTGCAGCCAAGGGTAAGAAGCAGGCAAGGCATGCACTGCAGCTGCTGGTGCTGAGAAGTGAGCACAGCCAGGATGGAGACTGGGACATGAGTAGGGTGGAGGTTCCTGCAGCCAGAGTGGGGACACAAGCTAGACACAGGCTACCACTGCAAGGGCTAGTGGGTGAGCCCTGCTGGGACTGCAGCATTAGAGAAACATGTGTTTCCCACCCAACAGACTAGGCTGTGGCCACTGAGGAAGACTTCATCCCTTCCAGTGGCAGAGTCTTAGCACAACTGCTACCACCCCTCACCTGAACACTCTGCCTGGGGCCTGAGAATTGCCCCATCTCCACCCACAACAGCTGGTGCATGCTTTCACCATTGTGGACCTGAACACAAACCCACGCAGCCTAGTTTCACTACCCCTTCCAAGAAAGAGCATATAGCCTGGAATGCTGGGGATTCCCCAACCCAACCCAGCACTTTGGAAACCTGAGCACTCCTCTTGAGCACCTGAGGTTGGGCCTAAACACATAGTCACTACCACCTCTGATGGCACCTACCTGCAGGAACCAACTAAAAGGCCTAGACACAGGCCTGCCCAGCTCATCACAGCATGAAATTGTCCCTCCACCACTACTGCCATCATCAATGCTATGCCAGGTTCCCAGGAGCCTAAGAACCCGTCCACCCACCTGGTCCACCACTACCACTACCAGCATCCAAGCAAGCCACCATGAGACCCAAAACTCAGCCTACCAGTAACCACCAACATGAGTGCCAGAACACACTTCCCTGGGCAAAAAGATAGGCACACTCACCCCACTACTGCAACTGCTGGGACCCAAAGAGTGCCTCACTGGGCATCCTGATCCCTGGAAGAACTTCACCATAGCCTCCACTAATAACTGCACTCTAACCCAATGAGGAAATCACAGATGCCACTAATGCTATTTGTAGCTAAAGAAATCATACGGTGACTGCACTACTGTATGCAACCAGAATAAAAGCTAAAATATCCTACCCAACCACACCATAGCTACAACTTCAGGAAAAAGTCTTCCTCTTTCCAAGTAAACTCAAAAATAGGAAGAAGTGACTGTTACACCAGATACACAGATATCAATGTAAGATCAATGTAAGGACACAAGGAACATGAAAAGGCAAGGAAATATGAAACCTCCAAAGCAACACAAAGATTTTCCAGCATTTTTTTTTTTTTTGAGATGGAGTCTCACTCTGTCACCCAGGCTGGAGTGCAGTGGAATGATCTCAGCTCACTGCAACCTCCACCTCCCAAGTTCAAGCAACTCTCCTGCTTCAGCCTCCCGAGTAGCTGGGACTACAGGCATGGGCCACCACTCTCGGCTAATTTTTTGTATATTTAGTAGAGACGGGGTTTCACTGTTTTAGCCAGGATGGTCTCAATCTCCTGACCTTGTGATCCACCCCCCTCAGCCTCCCAAAGCACTGGGATTACAGGCGTGAACCACCACGCCCGGCCAATAGATTTAATCAAAAAGAAATTTTTGAAATCCCAGATAAAGAATTCAAAATATTGATTTTAAAGAAACATAGATAAAAGAGAATTCTGAAAACCAATACAAAGAAATAAGAAAAACAATTCAGAATATAAATGAGAAACTTACCAAAAAGAAAGATATTTGAAAAAAGAACCAAATAGAGAATAACAGGTCATCATGGCAGATGGGAGGCAGTATTAGATTGCAGCTCCAGACAGAGCAGTATGTGGAGGCTCACATTTTAGCTGAATTTTAGCTCCAGATTTTAGTGAATTTTAGCTCCAGATCAACTGCAAGAATAAACCAGCAATTCTAAGAGGATTCACAGACCCTCTGAAGGAAGCAGACTGCTCCTGCAGGATCCAAAAGACACCCCAAATACTGTGAGTGCCCCAACTGTGGAAATGGGAAAGGGAGAGCCTCCTCTCCCAAACACACACCCCCACTGGAGAAACTCAAGGTCTGTTTGTGGGAGAAGGCTCCAAATTTACCTAGAGCTGAGTCAATTTAGAGAGTCAAGTGAAATATAGGGGTAGAGAAAGCAGTAGAAAGGCCCTGGGAGCTCACTGGGTTCCCTAGCAGGCCATTCCTGCCTAGCAATACAGGGATCCATCAGGAGGGTGGCCAGAGGAGCAGGGGGTAAAACTCCACAGGGAGAAGGAAATCTCTAGCTGAACTTTGTAACAATTTGAATGGGGTGAGAAGTCACTGGCCAGAACTCAGGGGAGGGCGCAAATCCAGTGTGCACACTCCACAGGTGGGGGAAGAACCAAGTGCTTTTTTTCCCCCGCAGCTGGGAGGCGGTCAGCCTGGGGCAACTTTTCAAGTCCGTCTCACCCTCTACCTGGAAACAGACTCGGGGCTACTGGCGGGGGCAGGGCACAGTGGGAGTGAGACCGGCCCTTCAGTTTTTTATGGGAGCTGGGTGAGGCCTGTGACTGCTGGCTTTCTCCCACTTCCCTGAAAGTCTGTTGACTCAGCAGAGGCAGCCATAATCCTCCTAGGTACACAACTCCAGTGACCTGGGAATCGCACCCCAATCCCCCACAGCAGCCGCAGCAGGACCTGCCCAAGGAAAGTCAGAGCTCAGACATGCATAGCCCTGCCTCCACCTGATGGTCCTTACCTACCCATCCTGGTAGCGGAAGAAAAAGGGCATATAATCTTGGGAGTTCTAGGGCTCCGCCCACTGCCAGTCCCTCTCCATACTACTACAGCTGATACTCTCTGGAAAATGCCACCTCCTGTCAGGAGGACAACCGGCACAAAACTAGAGCATTAAATCACTAATGCTAAGAACCCTCACAGAGTCCATTGCACCCCCCCACACCACCTCCACCAGAACAGGTGCTGGTATCCACGGCTGACAGACCCATAGATGGTTCACATCACAGGATTCTATGCAGACAACCCCCAGTACCAGTCTGAAGCTGGGTAGACACACTGGGTGGCTAGACCCAGAAGAGAGACAACAATCACTGCAGTTCAGCTCACAGGAAGCCACATCCATAGGAAAGGGGAGAGAGTACTACATCAAGAGAACACCGCATGGGACAAAAGAATCTGAACAACAGCCTTCAGCCCTAAACCTTCCCTCTGACAGAGCCTACCCAAATGAGAAGGACCTAGAAAACCAACCCTGGTAATATGACAAAACAAGGGTCTTCAACACTGCCAAAATAATACACTAGTTCACCAGCAATGGATCCAAACCAAGAAGAAATCCCTGATTTACCTGAAAAAATAATTCAGGAGGTTAGTTATTAAGCTAATCAGGGAGGCACCAGAGAAAAGTGAAGCCCAGTGCAAGAAAATCCAAAAAATGAAACAAGAAGTGAAGGAAGAAATATTCAAGGAAATAGATAGCTTAAAGAAAACACAATAAAAAATTTAGGAAACTTTGGACACACTTTTAGAAATGCAACATGCTCTGGAAAGTCTCAGCAATAGAACTGAACAGGAGAAGAAAGAAATTCAGAGCTTGAAGACAAGGTCTGTGAATTAACCCATTCCAACAGAGACAAAAAAAAAAGAATAAGAAAATATGAACAAAGCCTCCAAGAAGTCTGGGATTATGTTAAATGACCAAACCTAAGAATAATCAGTGTTCCTGAGGAAGAAAAGAATTCTAAAAACTTGGGGGAATAATTGAGGACAACTTCCCTGGCCTTGCTAGAGACCTAGACATCCAAATACAAGCATCACAAAGAACACCTGGGAAATTCATCACAAAAAGATTATTGCTGTCAATGAAAAGAGTCAAACTCTGTAAAATTTAAGGAGATTTATTCTGAGCCAAATATGAATGACCATGGCCCATAACACAGCCCTCAAGAAGTCCTGAGAACATGTCCCCAGGGTGGTCAGGATGCAGCTTGGTTTTACATATTTTAGAGAGGCATGAGACACCAATCAAATACATTTAAGAAATACTTTGGTTTGGTCCAGAAAGGTGGGACAACTCAAAGCAGGGGCTTCCAGGCTGTAGGTGAATTTAAACACTTTCTGGTTGACAATTGGTTGAGATTGTCTAAAGACCAGGGATTCATAGAAAGGGAATGTTCAGGTTAAGATAAAGACTGTGGAGAACAAAGTTCTTTTGAAGTCTTATAGTGGCTTCCCTTAGAGAAAATAGATGACAAATGTTTCCAATGAAGATCTTAGTTAATGTCTTTAGGATTGGGAGGGTCTAGAAGAAAAAGATCTAGCTAAGTTAATAGAGATTCTTTACAGATGCAAATTGTCCCCCACAAAGAACAGCTTTGCAAGGCCATTTCAAAATATGGCAAAGAAACATGTTTTAGGGTAAAATATTTTGATCTTCTTTGTCTCGTAATGCTGTGCCAGAATCAGGTTGGAAAGTAAATCACGACATATAGGGTTAAATAAAACTTATCCAATAAGAATTTATGATTTGTAGGGCATGATTCCTCAGACTCCCTTAGATAGGAATTTGGGCAAAATAAAAAAAATCAGAGTTTATTCCTCATTGCCTAGGCACATTGTCATCAGCTTATTGAAAGTTAAGATAAAGGAAGGAAACTTAAGAGCTGTGAGACAGAAGCACCAGGTAACCTATAAAAGAAAACCTATCAGATTCACAGCAGATTTCTCAGCAGAAACTTTACGAGCCAGAAAGCATTGGGGCCCTATCTTCAGCCTCCTCAAACAAAATAATTATCAGCCAAGAATTTTGTATCCAGTAAAACTAAGCATCATATATGAAGGGAAAGATACATTCTTTTTCAGACAAACAAATGCTAAGAGAATTTGCCACTACCATGCCATCACAAGACCTGCGAAAAGGAGATCTAAATCTTGAAACAAATCCTGGAAACATATCAAAACAAAATCTCTTAGGCCAGGCACAGTGGCTCACGCCTGTAATCCTGACTCACCTGAGGTCGGGAGTTCAGGACCAGCCTGACCAACATGGAGAAACACCATCTCTACTAAAAATATAAAATTAGCCAAGCATGGTGGCACATGCCTGTAATCCCAGCTACTCTGGAGGCTGAGTCAGGAGAATCGCTTGAACCCAGGAGGCAGAGGTTGCAGTGAGCTAAGATCGTGCCATTGCACTCCACTCTTGTTACCTAGGCAACGAGAGCAAAACTCTGTCTAAAAAAAAAAAAAAAGAGAGAGCGAGAGAAAAGAAAAACAGAACTTCTTTAAAGCATAAATCACATAGGACATATAAAACAAAAATACAAGTTAAAAAGCAAAAACAAAAAACAAGAAAACAAAAGTACACAGGTAACAAAGAGCATAATAACTGCAACATACCTCACATTTCAATACAAACATTGAATGTAAATGGCCCAAATGCTTGACTTAAAAGATACAGAACCACAGAATGGATAAGAACTCACCAACCAACTATCTGCTGCCTTTAGGAGACTCACCCAACACATAAGGACTCACATAAAGTAAAGGAGTAGAAAAGGGCATTTCATGCAAAAGGACACCAAAAGCGAGCATGGGTAGCTATTCTTATATCAGACAAAACAAACTTTAAAGCAACAGCAGTTAAAAGAGACAAAGAGGGACATTAATAATTATAAAAAGCCTTATCTAACAGGAAACTATCACAATCCTAAACATATATGCTCCTAACACTGGAACTCCCAAATTTATAAAACAATTAGTAAGAGACCTAAGAAATGAGATAGACAGCAATAAAATAATAGTGGGGGACTTCAATACTCCACTGACAGCACTAAACAAGTCATCAAGACAAAAAGTCAACAAAGAAACAATGGATTTAAACTATACCCTGGAGCAAATGGACTTAACAGATATGTAAAGAACATTTTATCCAACGACCACAGAATACACATTCTATTCAACAGTCCATGGAACTTTCTCCAAGATAGACCATATGATAGGCCATAAAATGAGCCTCAATAAATTTAAGAAAATTGAAATTATATCAAGCACTCTCTCAGACCACAGTGGAATAAAACTGGAAATCAACTCTAAAAGAAACTTTCAAAACCATGAAAATACATGGAAATTAAATAACCTCCTCCTGAATGAGCACTGGGTCAAAAATGAAATCAAGATGGAAATTTAAAAGTTCTTCAAACTGAATGACAATAATGACACATCCTTCCAAAACCTCTGGGATTCAGCAAAAGGTAGTGCTAAGAGGAAAGTTCATAGCCCTAAACACCTCCATCAGAAAGACTGAAAGAACACAAACTGACATTCTAAGGTCACAGCTCAAGGAACTAGAGAAACAAGAACAAACTAAATCCAAACCCAGCAAAAGAAAGAAAATAACGAAGTTTAGAGAAGAACTAAATGAAATTGAACAAACAAACAAAAAAAAATGAAAGATAAATGAAACAAAAATCTGGTTATTTAAAAAAATAAATAAATTGACAGACCATTAGCAAGATTAATCAAGAAGAGAGGAAATCCAAATAACCTCACTAAGAAACAAAACAGGAGATATTACAACTGACACCACTGAAATACAAAAGATCATTCAAGTGTACTATGAACATCTTTAGACACATAAACTAGAAAACCTAAAAGACATACATAAATTCCTGGGAAAAATACAACCCTCCTAGCTTAAATCAGGAAGAATTAGATGCCTTAGATGCCCTGAACAGACCAATAACAACTACCGAAATTTAAATGGTAATTTAAAAATTACCAACAAAAAATATGTCCAGAACCAGAAGGATTCACAGCAGAATTCTACCAGACATTCAAAGAAGAATTGGTACCAATTCTTTTGACATTATTCTACAAGATAGAGAAAAAAGAGACCCTCCTTAATTCATGTTATGAAGCCGGCATCAGTCTAATACCAAAGCCAGAAAGGACATAACAAAAAAAGAAAACTACAGATTGATATCCCTAATGAACATAGATGCTAAAATCCTTAAGAAAATACTAGCTAACCAAATCCAACAACATATCAAAAAGATAATCCACCATGATCAAGTGGGTTTCATAACAGGGATGCAGGGATGGTTTAGCATACACAAGTCAATAAATGTGATACACCACATAAACAGAATTAAAAACAAAAATAACATGATCATCTCAAAAGATGCAGAAAAAGCATTCAACAAAACCCAGCATTGCTTCATGATTAAAACTCAGCAAAATCAGCATACAAGGGGCATACCTTAATGTAATAAAAGCTATCTATGACAAACCCACAGCCAAAGTAATACTGAATGGGGAAAAGGTGAAAGCATTCCCTCTGAAAACTGGAACAAGACAAGAATGCCCACTTTCATCTCTCCTGTTCAACATAGCACTACAAGTCCTAGCCAAAGCAATCAGACGAGCGAAAGAAATAAAGGGCATCCAAATCGATAAAGAGGAAGTCAAACTGTCACTGTTTGTGGATGATATGGTTGTTTGCCTTGAAAACCCTAAAGACTTCTCCAGAAAGCTGCTAGAACTGATTTTAAAAATTCAGCAAAGTTTCTGCATACAAGATTAATGTACACAAGTCAGTAGCTCTTCTATACACCAACAATGACCAAGTGAAGAATCAAATCAAGAACTCAACCCCTTTTACAATAGCTGCAAAAAAATAAAATACTTAGGAATACACCTAACCAAGGAGGCAAATAAACTCTGCAAGGAAAACTAAAAAACACTGCTGAAACAAATCACAGATGACACGAACAAATGGAAACACATCCCATGCTCATGGATGGGTAGAATCAATATTGTGAAAATGCCCATACTGCCAAAAACAATCTACAAATTCCATGCAATCCCCATCAAAGTACCACCATCATTCTTCACAGAATTAGGAAAAAAAATTCTAAAATTCATATGGAAACAAAGAAGAGCCTGCATAGCCAAAGCAAGACTAAGCAAAAAGAACAAATCTAGACACATTACACTACCTGATTTCAAACTATACTAGAAGGCCATGGTCACCAAAACAGCAAGGTACTGGTATAAAAATAGGCACATAGATCAATGGAATAGAATAGAGAACCCAGAAATAAACCCAAATACTTACAGCCAACTGATCTTCAACAAAGCAAGCAAAAACATGAAGTGAGGAAAGGACACCCTATTCAACAAATGGTGTTGGGATAATTGGCTAGCCACATGTAGGAGAATGAAACTGGATCCTCATCTCTCACCTTATGCAAAAATTAACTCAAAATGGATTAAGGACTTAAACCTAAGACCTGAAACTACAAAAATTCTAGAAGATCACATTGGAAAACACTTCTAGACATTGGCTTAGGCAAGGATTTTATGACCAAGAACGGCAAAGCAAATGCAATAAAAACAAAGATAAACTGCTGGACCTAATTAAACTAAAGAGCATTTGCATGGCAAAAAGAACAGTCAGCAGAGTAAACAGACAATCCACAGAGTGGGAGAAAATCTTCACAGTCTATACATCTGACAAACGACTAATATCCCGAATCCACAACAAACTCAAACAAATCAGTAAGAAAAAAACAATCCCATCAAAAAGCGGGCTAAGGATATGAATAAACAATTCTCAAAAGAATATATACAAATGGCCAACCAACATAAGAAAAAATGCTCAACGTCACTAATGATCAGGGAAAATCAAATCAAAACCACAATGCAATACCACCTTATTCCTGCAAGAATGACCACAATCAAAAAAATCAAAAAACAGTAGATGTTGGCATGGATGCAGTGATCAGGGGACACTTCTACACTGCTTGTGGGAATGTAAACTAGAACAACCACTATAGAAAACAGTGTGGAGATTCCTTAAAGAAAAAAAGTAGAACTACCATTGAATCCAGCAATCCCACAACTAGATATCTACCTAGGGAAAAAGAAGTTATTACATGAAAAAGATATATACACACACATGTTTATAGCAGCACAATTCACAATTGCAAAATCGTGGAACCAACCCAAATGCCAATCAGTCAATGAGTGGATAAAGAAACTGTGATAGATAGATAGATAGATAGATAGATAGATAGATAGATAGATAGATAGATAATATATATCTCTCACATATATATCACATATATATCTCATGTATATATATGATGGAATACTACTCAGTCATAAAAAGGAATGAATTAACAGCATTTGCAGTGACCTGGATGAGATTGGAGACCATTATTCTGAGTAAAGTAACTCAGGAATGGAAAACCATACATCTTACATTCTCACTGATACATAGGAGCTAAGCTAAGAGGACACAAAGGCATAAGAATGATATAATGGACTTTGGGGACTTGAGGAGAATAGTGGGAGGGGGTGAGGGATAAAAGACTACAAATACAGGGCAGTGTATACTGCTAGGGTGATAGGGGCACCAAATCTCACAAATCACCGCTAAATTACTTACTCATGTAACCAAATACCACTTGTACCCCAATAACTTTTGTTATAATAATAACACAAATAAATTTTAAAAAAAGAACCAAATAGAAATGTTGGAACTGAAGAATTCATTGAAGGACATACAAAATATATTTAAAAGTCTCAACAATAGACTAGATGAGTCAGGAGAAAGAATCTCAGATTTTGAAAACAGATCTTTTCAAATAACCATGATCAGACAAAAATAAAGAAAAAAGAATGAGCAGCGCCTTCTTGACATTTGGGACAACATAAAGTGATCAAATATATGAATTCTCAGTATCTCTGAGGGCAAAGAAACAAAGGAAATATTAGAACACCTATTTAATATGATAATATATTTAAAGTTCCAAGTCTAATAATGTATTAGACATTAAAATACAGGAGGCTCAGTGGTTCACAAGAAGAGACAACACAAAGGGTCTTTTACGTGAGTGACACATTATAGTCAGATTGTCTAAAATGAAAGAGAAAGAATGCATTCTTAAAACAGCAAGAGAAAAGCCTCTAGTACCTATAAAGGAAATCCCATCAAACTAACGGTGAATTTCTTAGCAAAAACCTTGTAAGCCGGAAGAGAACGGTATAATATATTCAAAGTAGTGAAAGAAATAAACTGGCAGACAAGAATATTGTATTCAGTAAAATTATCCTTCATAAATGAAAGAGGAAAAAAAGAGTCTTTTCCAGACAAACAAATGCCGATGGAATTCATTCTCACTAGACCAACCCTAAAAGAAATATTCAAGGAAGTATTCAAGGAAGTCCTATATCTGGAAAGTAAAGGATGACATTTCCCATCATGAAACCACATAAAAATATAAAACTCATTGGTAAAGCAGTCACAAAGGAGGAATAGAAAGAACTCAAATGGTGCCATTACAGAAATCGTCTAAACCACAACAATCAATAAGAGAAAAAGAAAGGAACAAAGACTATATAAAACAACCAAAAAACAATTAACAATATGACAAGAACAAAGACTCACATATCAATAATCTTCAACATAATTGAATTAAATTATCCACTGACAAGATATAGAATGGTTACATTGATTGAAAAAAACATAATTCAAATATATACTGCTTACAAGAAATTCACCTTACTAGTAAAGACACATATAGACTGAAAGTAAGGAATGGAAAAAGATACTCCCTACAAATGGAAACCAAAAGCAAGCAAGAGTAGATATATTTATATCACATAAAACGACTTTAAGTCAAGAACAGTAGAAAAAAAGACAAAGAAGCTCATTATATAACAATAAAGGGATCAATACAGCGATGTGATATAACAATTCTAAATATGTATGTCACCAACACTGAAGCACCCAGATTCGTAAAGCACATATTAGTAGATCTAAATAGAGAGATAGACAGCAATACAATAATAGTAGGATTTCAACACCACACTCTCAACATTAGACCGATTATCTAGACAGAAAATAAACAAAGAAGCATTGGAATTAAACTACGTAATGTATGAAATGGACTTAAAAGATATTTGCAGAACATTCTATCCAACAACTTCAAAATAACATTCTTTTCATCAGCACATGGAACATTCTCCAGATAGATTATCCAGTATGCCACAAAATAAGTCTCAATAAATTTTTTAAATTTTAATTATATCCAGTATCTTCTGAGGCCACAAGGGAATACAATAAGAAATCAATGCCTCGAAAACTACAAATACACAGAAATTAAACAACATGCTCTAAAGTGACCATTGGGTCAACAAAAAAAAGATTAAGGAGCAAATCAAAACATTTCATGAAACAAATGAAAATGGAAACAACATACCAAAACCCGTGGGATAACAAAAGCCATGCTAAAAGGGAAGTTTATAACAATGAATACCTACATCAAAAAAAAAGTAGAGAGTACAAATTAATAATCTAACAAAGCACTTAAAGAAACTAGAAAGGGAAGAACAACTCAAGCCAAAATTAGCAGAAATAAATAATAAAGATCAGAGCAGAAATTAATTAAAAATTTGTCCTTTAAAAGGTAAACAAAATGTATAAACCACTAGCTAGACTATTCAAGAATAGACCCAAATAAACAAAATCAGAAATGAAAAAAGAGACACAGCAACTGATACAGGAATACAAAAGATCATCAGAGACTACTATGAACAACTGTACATTGACAAACTGAAAAACCTAGAAGAGATGGATAAATTCCTGAAAACATACAACCTACCAAAATTGAATCAGGAAGAAATAGGAAGCCGGAAAAGATCAATAATCAGATGTGAGATTGAATAGGTAATATAAAATCTCCCAACAAAGAAAAGCCCAGGACCACAAGAATTCACGGCCAATTCTACCAAAAGTACGAAGAACTAATTCTAGTCCTCCTAAAACTTTTCCAAAAAATTGAAGAGGAGGAAATTTTCCCTAACTTTTTCCATGAGGCCAGCATCTACCTTATCCCCAAACCAGGCAAGGACACAACAAAAAAAGAAAACCACAGGCCAATATCCCTGATGAATATAGAATCAAAAGTGCTTAACAAAATATTAGGAAACTAAATCCAACAGTATATCAAAAATACAACACCTCACAATCAAGTGGGATTCTTTCCAGAGATGCAAGGACAGTTTAACATTTCCAAATTTAAAAATGTGATGCACTACATCAACACAAGAAAAGACAAAAACCATATGATCATCTCAATAGATGAAAATAAAGAATTGGATAAAATTCAGCATCCCTTCATACTAAAAGCTCTCAACAAACTGGGCATAGAAAGAACATACCTCAAGGTAATAAAGACCATACACAACAAACCCACATTTAGCATCATACTGAATGGAGAAAAGTTGAAAGCCTTTTTGTAAGAACCGAAACCAGACAAGGATGCACGTTTTCACCACTCTTAATTCAACACATTACTAAAACTTTAGCCAGAGCAATCAGGTAATAGCAAGAAACAAAAGACATCCTAATTGGAAAAGAGGAATTCAAATTGTCCCTCTTTGCTGATAATATGATTTTACATCTAGAAAAACCTAAAGACTCCACCAAAAAACCTCTTAAATTTGATAAATGAATTCAATAAAGTTGAAAGATACAAATTCAACATACAAAAATCAGTAGCATTTATACACACCAATAATGATCCAGTCAAGAAAGAAATCAAGAAAGCAATCCCATTTATAATAGCTACCAAAAAAGTAAAATACCTAAGAGTAAATTTAACTAAATAGATGAAAGATCTCTACAACGAAAATTATAAAACACTGGTGAAAGAAACTGGAGATGACAAAAACAAATGGAAAAATTCTCATGCTCGTGGATCACAAGAATTAATATCATTAAATTGACCATATTCCCCAAAACAACTTAGAGATTCATTGCAATTGCTATCAAAATGCCAACATCATTCTTAAAGGAAATAGAAAAAAAATGGGCAAATAACCAACCTGGCAAACAGCCAAAGCAATTCCGAGCAAAAGGAATAAAGCTGGAAACATCAAATTACCTGACTTCAAAATATATAATAAGGCTACAGAAACCAAAACAGCATAGTACTGCTATAAAAACAGATACATAGACCAATGGAACAGAATAGAGAACTTATAAATAAAGCCACATATTTACAGCCAACTGATCTTTGAAAAAGCTGATAAAAATTTATATTGGGAACACCCCTTGTAAAGGGCCACCATTTTCAATAAATGGTACTGGGAAAATATGTTATATAACCACGTGCAGAAGAATTAAACTGTACCTCTATCTTTCAACATATACAAAAATCAACTCAGGGTGGATTAAATACTTAAACATAGGACACAAAAATATAAATATGCTGGAGAAAACCCTAGAGAACACCCTCTTGAACTTCAGTCTAGGCAAAGAATTTATGACTAAGACTTAAAAGCACAGGCAACAAAAACAAAAATAGAGAAAAGGGACTACAAATTTGAAATCTTCTGCAGAGCAAAGAAAATCATCAACCGAGTAAAGAGACAGCCTGTTGAGTGGAAGAATATATTTAGTTGGAATGCCAAGTTTGATGACACATACCATGAGGCTATGAGAAGCTTTATTACTTACCTGAGGCTTTCTGGGAAGCAGGGCTGGCTTCCCAAGCTGAACTGAAAATGGCTTGCAAGAACAGGGAAAGGAGACTGGCATGAGGTTTTTATGGTGGTTAGGGGCTGAGGCTGGCGTGAGGGTTCCTGTGCCCAGGCAGGGGCTTATGTGATTTGAACTTCCCACAGGGGCCAAAGGAGGAAGTATCCAGGCTTTCTTATCAATGTGCACAAAACTGGGGCAGAAGGGAAAGAGGGAGGGGTGGGGCTTAAGCTATCAGCAGTCAATCTTCAAAAAAATGAATCAAGCTCTTCATTACATTGGGCTGCACTTACGATCTTTTATATAAGGCTATGAGACAGAGATCTGTTACATAGATGCTGTGTGTGCCCTAATCTCCTTCAAAGAGAACATGTGGCTTAAATGGAATAAAAATAAGGGCACATCAAACTCTTTGGGGGGAAAACTACTTTTATAAATACACAGCATTATCAAAATCATTATTCCTCTTCAAGGTATTTGACTTTTTAAGTCATTTCTAAATCAGCTACGGGCAGCGATAAGGTTTGGCTTTGTGTCCCCACCCAAATCTCAAGTAGAACTGTAATCCCCACGTGTCAGGGGAGGGACCGGGTGGGAGATGATTGGATCATAGGGGTGGATTTCCCCTATGCTGTTCTCATGATAGTGAGCGAGTTCTCACAAGCTCTGATAGTTTTAAAGTGTGGCAATTTCCCCCTCACTTGCTCTCTCTTTTTCTCTCTCCTGCTACCATGTAAGATGACATGCCTTGCTTCCCCTTTGCCTTTCACAATGACTGAAAGTTTCCTGAGGTCTCTCCAGCCATGTGTAACTGTGACTCAAGCCTCTTTTCTTTATAAATTAGCCAGTCTCAGGTAGTTCTTTATAACAGTGCTGAAACAAACTAATACAGGCAGGGATATCATTTTTCTGTTTAGAAAACCAACTTTAGAAAGGCTAAGTGCTTTCACGATGTCAGAAGTATTATCAAAGGGTCAAAAGATTTTATACTTAATATCTCTCAGTCAGGACATTAAGACAACTCTCAGAGCCTTTATGTTTTATATAAAATGTTAGATTAGAGAAGCTCATTATTTAATTGAATTAATAGAAATAACCACTACATTTAAACCCTCAGAAAATAAAGCTGCAGATCTTTGTCAAACAAATGGTGATAATAATTGTAATAATAGCAGCTAACCCTTATTGAATGTCTTTAAGTTTCGAGAACTCTTCCAAAGACATTATAGTTATCCTCATAACAAGTCATTGGATTAAATATTAATATTCCAATTTTGCAATGAGGAACTTGAAGCCCAGAAAGGTTCAACAATATGACCAACATCCCATAGTGGCTGAGTGAAGAAGTGAGAATTCAAGCATAAAGCAGGAAGACAACGCATTAGATTAAACATTTCAAAGTTGTATTTTAGTTTGGAAAACACAGATTGATTTAAACTAAAGAATAGGAAGTGCCACACTGCCTCTCATTTTAACCTAGTTAGGATAAACTTTTATTCTGTTCTATTTAATTTTTACCTCAGAATATTAGGGGTAGAGCATCCAAGAAAGTAAGTAGCCAAATGAGTAGGCATTAAACAGATTAATTATTTGAGCTTTTACAATTCAATGATCACATCAATGTCAATTTGGAATTTAGTCCTGTATGCCCTGTTGGGTCTTCAAAGCAATTTTCTTGTGCTGAAATCCATGTACAGTTATATAGTGAACTAAGAGGAGGCACTGATTTCACAAGTAACTACAGACTGATGAGTTAAAAAAAAAAAGTTCAACCACTGTTTAACTTTCAACTTTGGAGAACTTAATATAAAATGAACAGTTCTATATATGATTTATATTTCAGGGCACTCTCACACACATCTCATTTAATCTCCTCATTGACATAGTTCTAATAACAGAAAATGTACATCAACACATGTAGAGCAAATAACTTACATAATCAAACTATGTGTATGCTAATGTAAAGGAGTGTGCCAAATACATTTTATAACCCATCTTACATCCCCTTGGCCTGTCACTTTACTCAAGCCATTTATGTGGCAATCAGTGGTGCCTCAGATACATCTTGATAAAATGACCCTCAAGCTGCACTGCCTCTCATTTGTTTTCTGCCCCAGGCTTCTCTGTCCAGTGAGGTTTGGTCTATGCTGAGTCATGAGCAAACCTAGAAGTGTGAGAGCATTAACAACCCTGGAACAACCTTCGATCAAAGAGGATAGTAACTGGTAGATAAATATTTCCATCTTCCCCATGAGAGGTGCACACATCCCCATGGATGGATGATTCTGAAGCACATTGTATAGAGAAGCTTTGACCTCCATCTCCCCCCAGACGTTTTCTTAAAAATGCATCCTTAGATGGGCTGTCTTCCTTCCCATTTCACTCTTCCCAATTCATCACGCTTATTCTGCTTTATTGGATTAGGTTATGATAGTTAACAGTGTACATATATATATATACACTATATACATGGGAACTATTTCTCAAGCCATTGACATAGGATCTGCTTTATGAAGGAATTCAAGCCAAATCAGAGCATTTAAGTAACTTACAAAAGAGACTGCTAATATTAGCATTAGAATTACAAACCAGGTCTTCTATCTCCTTAGAGTATGATATGGTTTGGCTGTGCCCCCAACCCTCCAAATCTCATCTTGAACTGTAGTTCCCATAATCCCCACGTGTCAGTGGGAGGTAATTGAATCATGGGGACGGTTTCCCCATGCTGAATGAGTTCTCACAAGTTCTGATGGTTTTATAAGCATCTGGCATTTCCCCCACTGTGTCATTCTCTCTCATGCCACCCAGTGAAGAGGTGCCTTCCACCATGATTGTAATTTTCCTGAAGCCTCCCCAGCCATGCAGAACTGTGAGTCAATTAAATCTCTTTTGTTTATAAATCACACAGTCTTGGGTATTTCTTCATAGCAGCATGACAACGGACTAACACAGTACGTTGCTACTGCAGAGAATAGGACAATTATGTAAAGATACCCGAAAATGTGAAAGTGACTTTGCAATTGGGTAACACGCAGAGATTGCAACAGTTTGGAGGGCTCAGAAGAAGAAAGATGTGGGGATGTTTGGAACTTCCCAGAGACTTGTTGAATGGCCTTGACCAAAATGCTGATAGTAATACAGACAATGAAGTCCAGGCTAAGGTGGCCTCAGATGGAGGTGGGAAATGTGTTGGGAACTGGAGTAAAGGTCATTCTTGCTCTGCTTCAGCAAAAAGACTGATGGCTTTTTGCCCCTGCCCTAAAGATCTGTGGAACTTTGAACTTGAGAGAGATGATTTAGGGTACCTGGCAGAAGAAATTTCTAAGCAAAGCATTCAAGTGAAGATAGAGTATAGAAGTTTGGAAAATTTGCAGCCTGACAATGCAGAAGAAAAGAAAAACCCATTTTCTGGGGAGAAATTCAAGCTGGCTGTAGAAATTTGCTTAAGTAATGAGGAGTCAAATGCTAATCACCAAGATAATGGGGAAAATGTCTCCAGGGCATCTCAGAGAACTTGGCAGCAGCCCCTCCCATCACAGGCCCAGAGGTCTAGGAGGGAAAAATGGTTTCCTGGGCCAGGCCTAGGGTCCAGGGCCTCCCTGCTGTGTGCAGCCTCTGGACTTGGTGCCCTGCATCCTAGCTGCTACAGCCATGGCGAAAAGGAGCCAAGGTATAGCTCAGGCCATTGCTTCAGAGGATGCCAGCCCAAAGCCTTAGCAGTTTCCACACTGTGTGGGTCCTGCAGGTGCACAGTAGACAAGAACTGAGGTTTGGGAACCTCCACCTAGATTCAGAGGATGTATGGAAATGCCTAGATATCTAGTCAGCAGTCTGCTGCAGGGGCAGAGCCCTCACGGAGAACCTCTGCTAGGGCAGTGCAGAAGGGAAATGTGGGGTCAGGGTCCCCACACAGAGTCCCCAGTGGGGCACTGCCTAGTGGAGTTGTCAAAAGAAGGCCACTGTCCTCCAGACCCCAGAATGGTAGATCCACCAACAGCTTGCACCATGCACCTGGAAAAGCCACAGACAGTCAATGTCAACTATGAAAGCAGTGAGGGGGGCTGTACCCTGCAAAACCACAGAGGCAGAGCTGCCCAAGACCATGAGAGCCCACCTCTTGCATCAGCGTGCCCTGAATGTGAGACATGGAGTCAAAGATCATTTTGGAACTTTAAGGTTAAATGACTGCCCTATTGGATTTTAGACTTGCCTGGGGCCTGTAGCCGTTTTGTTTTGGCCAATTTCTCCCACTTGGAACAGGTGTATTTACCCAATGCCTGTACCCATATTGTCTCTTGGAAGGAACTAACCTGTGTTTGATTCTACTAGCTCATAAGTGGAAAGAACTTGTTTGTCTCAGATGAGACTTTGGACGTGAACTTTTGAGTTAGTGCTGGAATGTGTTAAGAATTTGGAGAGGAGGAGCCAAGATGGCCGAATAGGAACAGCTCCGGTATACAGCTCCCAGCATGAGCAACGCAGAAGACAGGTGATTTCTGCATTTCCATCTGAGGTACCGGGTTCATCTCACTAGGGAGTGCCAGACAGTGGGCGCAGGCCAGTGTGTGCGTGCACCGTGCGCGAGCCGAAGCAGGGCGAGGCATTGCCTCACCTGGGAAGCGCAAGGGGTCAGGGAGTTCCCTTTCCTAGTCAAACAAAGGGGTGACGGACGCACCTGGAAAATCGGGTCACTCCCACCCGAATATTGCGCTTTTCAGACTGGCTTAAGAAACGGCGCACCACGAGACTATATCCCACACCCGGCTCAGAGGGTCCTACGCCCACGGAATCTCGCTGATTGCTAGCACAGCAGTCTGAGATCAAACTGCAAGGCGGCAACGAGGCTGGGGGAGGGGCGCCCGCCATTGCCCAGGCTTGCTTAGGTAAACAAAGCAGCCGGGAAGCTCGAACTGGGTGGAGCCCACCACAACTCAAGGAGGCCTGCCTGCCTCTGTAGGCTCCACCTCTGGGGGCAGGGCACAGACAAACAAAAAGACAGCAGTAACCTCTGCAGACTTAAGTGTCCCTGTCTGACAGCTTTGAAGAGAGCAGTGGTTCTCCCAGCACACAGCTGGAGATCTGAGAACGGGCAGACTGCCTCCTCAAGTGGGTCCCTGAACCCTGACCCCCGAGCAGCCTAACTGGGAGGCACCCCCCAGCAGGGGCACACTGACACCTCACACGGCAGGGTATTCCAACAGACCTGCAGCGGAGGGTCCTGTCTGTTAGAAGGAAAACTAACAACCAGAAAGGACATCTACACCGAAAACCCATCTGTACATCACCATCATCAAAGACCAAAAGTAGATAAAACCACAAAGATGGGGAAAAAACAGAACAGAAAAACTGGAAACTCTAAAACGCAGAGCACCTCTCCTCCTCCAAAGGAACGCAGTTCCTCACCAGCAACGGAACAAAGCTGGATGGAGAATGATTTTGACGAGCTGAGAGAAGAAGCCTTCAGACGATCAAATTACTCTAAGCTACGGGAGGACATTCAAACCAAAGGCAAAGAAGTTGAAAACTTTGAAAAAAATTTAGAAGAATGTATAACTAGAATAACCAATACAGAGAAGTGCTTAAAGGAGCTGATGGAGCTGAAAACCAAGGCTCGAGAACTACGTGAAGAATGCAGAAGCCTCAGGAGCCGATGCGATCAACTGGAAGAAAGGGTATCAGCAATGGAAGATGAAATGAATGAAATGAAGCGAGAAGGGAAGTTTAGAGAAAAAAGAATCAAAAGAAATGAGCAAAGCCTCCAAGAAATATGGGACTATGTGAAAAGACCAAATCTACGTCTGATTGGTGTACCTGAAAGTGATGTGGAGAATGGAACCAAGTTGGAAAACACTCTGCAGGATATTATCCAGGAGAACTTCCCCAATCTAGCAAGGCAGGCCAACGTTCAGATTCAGGAAATACAGAGAACACCACAAAGATACTCCTCGAGAAGAGCAACTCCAAGACACATAATTGTCAGATTCACCAAAGTTGAAATGAAGGAAAAAATGTTAAGGGCAGCCAGAGAGAAAGGTCGGGTTACCCTCAAAGGAAAGCCCATCAGACTAACAGCTGATCTCTCGGCAGAAACCCTACAAGCCAGAAGAGAGTGGGGGCCAATATTCAACATTCTTAAAGAAAAGAATTTTCAACCCAGAATTTCATATCCAGCCAAACTAAGCTTCATAAGTGAAGGAGAAATAAAATACTTTATAGACAAGCAAATGCTGAGAGATTTTGTCACCACTAGGCCTGCCCTAAAAGAGCTCCTGAAGGAAGCACTAAACATGGAAAGGAACAACCGGTACCAGCCGCTGCAAAATCATGCCAAAATGTAAAGACCATGGAGACTAGGAAGAAACTGCATCAACTAATGAGCAAAATCACCAGCTAACATCATAATGACAGGATCAAATTCACACATAACAATATTAACTTTAAATATAAATGGACTAAATTCTGCAAGTAAAAGACACAGACTGGCAAGTTGGATAAAGAGTCAAGACCTATCAGTGTGCTGTATTCAGGAAACCCATCTCACGTGCAGAGACACACATAGGCTCAAAATAAAAGGATGGAGGAAGATCTACAAGCCAATGGAAAACAAAAAAAGGCAGGGGTTGCAATCCTAGTCTCTGATAAAACAGACTTTAAACCAACAAAGATCAAAAGAGACAAAGAAGGCCATTACATAATGGTAAAGGGATCAATTCAACAAGAGGAGCTAACTATCCTAAATATTTATGCACCCAATACAGGAGCACCTAGATTCATAAAGCAAGTCCTGAGTGACCTACAAAGAGACTTAGACTCCCACACATTAATAATGGGAGACTTTAACACCCCACTGTCAACATTAGACAGATCAATGAGACAGAAAGTCAACAAGGATACCCAGGAATTGAACTCAGCTCTGCACCAAGCAGACCTAATAGACATCTACAGAACTCTCCACCCCAAATCAACAGAATATACATTTTTTTCAGCACCACACCACACCTATTCCAAAATTGACCACATACTTGGAAGTAAAGCTCTCCTCAGCAAATGTAAAAGAACAGAAATTATAACAAACTATCTCTCAGACCACAGTGCAATCAAACTAGAACTCAGGATTAAGAATCTCACTCAAAGCCGCTCAAATACATGGAAACTGAACAACCTGCTCCTGAATGACTACTGGGTACATAACGAAATGAAGGCAGAAATAACGATGTTCTTTGAAACCAACGAGAACAAAGACACCACATACCAGAATCTCTGGGATGCATTCAAAGCAGTGTGTAGAGGGAAATTTATAGCACTAAACGCCTACAAGAGAAAGCAGGAAAGATCCAAAATTGACACCCTAACATCACAATTAAAAGAACTAGAAAAGCAAGAGCAAACACATTCAAAAGCTGGCAGAAGGCAAGAAATAACTAAAATCAGAGCAGAACTGAAGGAAACAGAGACACAAAAAACCCTTCAAAAAATCAATGAATCCAGGAGCTGGTTTTTTGAAAGGATCAACAAAATTGATAGACCGCTAGCAAGACTAATAAAGAAAAAAAGAGAGAAGAATCAAATAGACACAATAAAAAATGATAAAGGGGATATCACCACCGATCCCACAGAAATACAAACTACCATCAGAGAATACTACAAACACCTCTACGCAAATAAACTAGAAAATCTAGAAGAAATGGATACATTCCTCGACACATACACTCTCCCAAGACTAAACCAGGAAGAAGTTGAATCTCTGAATAGACCAATAACAGGCTCTGAAATTGTGGCAATAATCAATAGCTTACCAACCAAAAAGAGTCCAGGACCAGATGGATTCACAGCCAAATTCTACCAGAGGTACAAGGAGGAACTGGTACCATTCCTTCTGAAATTATTCCAATCAATAGAAAAAGAGGGAATCCTCCCTAACTCATTTTATGAGGCCAGCATCATTCTGATACCAAAGCCGGGCAGAGACACAACCAAAAAAGAGAATTTTAGACCAATATCCTTGATGAACATTGATGCAAAAATCCTCAATAAAATACTGGCAAACCGAATCCAGCAGCACATCAAAAAGCTTATACACCATGATCAAGTGGGCTTCATCCCTCGGATGCAAGGCTGGTTCAATATACGCAAATCAATAAATGTAATCCAGCATATAAACAGAGCCAAAGACAAAAACCACATGATTATCTCAATAGATGCAGAAAAAGCCTTTGACAAAATTCAACAACCCTTCATGCTAAAAACTCTCAATAAATTAGGTATTGATGGGACGTATTTCAAAATAATAAGAGCTATCTATGACAAACCCACAGCCAATATCATACTGAATGGGCAAAAACTGGAAGCATTCCCTTTGAAAACTGGCACAAGACAGGGATGCCCTCTCTCACCGCTCCTATTCAACATAGTGTTGGAAGTTCTGGCCAGGGCAATCAGGCAGGAGAAGGAAATAAAGGGTATTCAATTAGGAAAAGAGGAAGTCAAATTGTCCCTGTTTGCAGATGACATGATTGTTTATCTAGAAAACCCCATCGTCTCAGCTCAAAATCTCCTTAAGCTGATAAGCAACTTCAGCAAAGTCTCAGGATACAAAATCAATGTACAAAAATCACAAGCATTCTTATACACCAACAACAGACAAACAGAGAGCCAAATCATGAGTGAACTCCCATTCACAATTGCCTCAAAGAGAATAAAATACCTAGGAATCCAACTTACAAGGGATGTGAAGGACCTCTTCAAGGAGAACTACAAACCACTGCTCAAGGAAATAAAAGAGGATACAAACAAATGGAAGAACATTCCATGCTCATGGGTAGGAAGAATCAATATCGTGAAAATGGCCATACTGCCCAAGGTAATCTACAGATTCAATGCCATCCCCATCAAGCTACCAATGACTTTCTTCACAGAATTGGAAAAAAACTACTTTAAAGTTCACATGGAACCAAAAAAGAGCCCGCATCGCCAAGTCAATCCTAAGCCAAAAGAACAAAGCTGGAGGCATCACACTACCTGACTTCAAACTATACTACAAGGCTACAGTAACCAAAACAGCATGGTACTGGTACCAAAACAGAGATATAGATCAATGGAACAGAACAGAGCCCTCAGAAATAATGCCGCATATCTACAAGTATCTGATCTTTGACAAACCTGAGAAAAACAAGCAATGGGGAAAGGATTCCCTAATTAATAAATGGTGCTGGGAAAACTGGCTAGCCATATGTAGAAAGCTGAAACTGGATCCCTTCCTTACACCTTATACAAAAATCAATTCAAGATGGATTAAAGATTTAAACGTTAGACCTAAAACCATAAAAACCCTAGAAGAAAACCTAGGCATTACCATTCAGGACATAGGCGTGGGCAAGGACTTCATGTCCAAAACACCAAAAGCAATGGCAACAAAAGCCAAAATTGACAAATGGGATCTAATTAAACTAAAGAGCTTCTGCACAGCAAAAGAAACTACCATCAGAGTGAACAGGCAACCTATAAAATGGGAGAAAATTTTCGCAACCTACTCATCTGACAAAGGGCTAATATCCAGAATCTACAATGAACTCAAACAAATTTACAAGAAAAAAACAAACAACCCCATCAAAAAGTGGGCGAAGGACATGAACAGACACTTCTCAAAAGAAGACATTTATGCAGCCAAAAAACACATGAAGAAATGCTCATCATCACTGGCCATCAGAGAAATGCAAATCAAAACCACTATGAGATATCATCTCACACCAGTTAGAATGGCAATCATTAAAAAGTCAGGAAACAACAGGTGCTGGAGAGGATGTGGAGAAATAGGAACACTTTTACACTGTTGGTGGGACTGTAAACTAGTTCAACCATTGTGGAAGTCAGTGTGGCGATTCCTCAGGGATCTAGAACTAGAAATACCATTTGACCCAGCCATCCCATTACTGGGTATATACCCAAAGGACTATAAATCATGCTGCTATAAAGACACATGCACACGTATGTTTATTGCGGCACTATTCACAATAGCAAAGACTTGGAACCAACCCAAATGTCCAACAATGATAGACTGGATTAAGAAAATGTGGCACATATACACCATGGAATACTATGCAGCCATAAAAAATGATGAGTTCATGTCCTTTGTAGGGACATGGATGAAATTGGAAACCATCATTCTCAGTAAACTATCGCAAGAACAAAAAACCAAACACCGCATATTCTCACTCATAGGTGGGAATTGAACAATGAGATCACATGGACACAGGAAGGGGAATATCACACTCTGGGGACTGTGGTGGGGTCGGGGGAGGGGGGAGGGATAGCATTGGGAGATATACCTAATGCTAGATGACACGTTAGTGGGTGCAGCGCACCAGCATGGCACATGTATACATATGTAACTAACCTGCACAATGTGCACATGTACCCTAAAACTTAGAGTATAATTAAAAAAAAAAAAAAATTAAAAAAAAAATTAAAAAAAAAAAAAGAATTTGGAGAACAGTTGGGAAGGTATGATTGTGTTTTGAAATGTGAGTACATGAGATATGGGATGGACCAGGGGCAGAATGATATGCTTTGACTGGGTCCCCACCCAAATCTCATCTTGAATTATAGTTTCCATAATCCCCACGTGTCATGGGAGGGACTCAGTGAAAGGTAATTGAATCTTGGGGGCAGTCTCCTTCTGTTCTCATAATAGTGAGTGAGTTCTTACAAGATCTGATGGTTTTATAAGAATCTGGCATTTCCCCTGCTAGCTCTCATTCTCTCTCCTGCTGTCCTGTGAAAAGCTGCCTTCCACCATGATTGTAAGTTTCCTGAGGTCTCCCCTGCCATGCGGAACTATGAGTCAATTAAACCTCTTTTCTTTATAAATTGCCAAGTCTCGGGTATTTCTTCATAGCAGCATGAGAACAGACTAATACGGAATACATGAATTAAATGCATGGATCTTTAAGACAAATTCACCTGGATTTGACACTTGTTAAGACCCCCCTGAGAACATGCCTTGACTTTTGTAATATCAACTATTAAACTGGAATACTAATAAAAATAAAAATAATGGTCAACCTTCATTGAGTGCTTCCATGTGTGGACTCTGCTCTAAATGCTCTGTATATTAATCCTCACCCACCTATTAATCCAATTAATCCTCACCAGCCTATTAACCTCACCATAACCTTGTTAAGTATATGCCATTAGTATTATCACCATTTTACAGATGAAGAAACTGGGATACAGAAAGTTTACTATGCCCAAGATCACAAAGCCAGTAAGTGGCACCTCAGGGATTCCAACCCAGATATTCAAGCTCTAGGGTTCACACATTTAACACTACTAGCCATCAGACACAGTGACTCATGTCTGTAATCTCAGCACTTTGGGAGGCCGAGGTGAGAGGATTGCTTGAAGTCAGGCGTTCCAAACCAGCCTAGGCAACATACAAAGATAAATAGGTTTAAAAATTTGCCAGGCATGGTGGCACACACCAGCAGGTCCAACTACTCAGGAGGCTTAGGTGGGAGGATCGCTTGAGCCCAGGAGGTCAAGGCTGCAAAGAGCTATAAGCATACCACTGCACTCCAGCTTGAGCAACAAAGCAAGACTCTGTCTCTAAACAAATAAATACATAAACAAACACTATTAGCTTCACTGCTTCCTTATATGGTTGTAACAAGAAAATGTAATAATAAATTAAAAGACAAAGCATTTAGTACAGTGCCTGGTGCACAGAAATTTCTAACAAAAATCAACAAAAGAAAAAACAAAGTTTGAAACCTGATTTTTTTAATGGCACCAAATATTTCTTTTCGGTCCATTTATCTTTGTTTCTCTAATTTCTTCTTTTCTTGGACTCTCTTCCATTAAAATGTTTGTTAGGGCCCTTCCATCACTCTGACTTGTTGATATATTATCTTTTCCTTGTCCCTCATCCCCAGTTGCCTTCTCCAACTTCTCCCATTGCTTCCTTTCAAATCTCATTTTTCTCAATTTCACAACCATTGACAGATCAGCATGAGAAACATCAGAGATAGTTTACTTTCATGACATTCGCTTCAGAATCTCACTAGAATAAATGTTTTTGTGGTATTTATGACAAAGCACCCCAACCTACCTGCACAAACACAATCAGAGTTTATCAGATCTCTCAATATGTAAATGGAGACTCTCCAGTGATCAAAAGGGACCAACAAAAAAGACCTCCTCCATGCTGTTCTGTGTCTTTGTGGCAGTGTGTGTGCTGGCTACAGTCTGAGGTACAGGGCAAAAACATCAAGTTAATTAGATAAACCCTTTCTTTGATTCATTGGCAAGATCTTCTCTTTCTTTTTAATCAATAGTCTAAATGCTAACTCATTCGCCTTAACCTTTCCTCCCAAATGATAAACACTGATCATAATTTGCATATGCGAAGTAGTCACAAGGAGACCTTCAATTAAGGTGCCTGACAACTACTCTGATTACTACGTTTTTCACAACTGCCAAGAAATGTCTAACTGCAGACTGGAATTCTTTCCCAGTGTAGAAGAATATTGCTTATAGAAATGTGAATGATTCTGGTGATTACTAGTAAACGTCAGCAGATGGCACAGAGATGGTTCCACAATGGATGCACTTTGTCTCCTTAGGCAACCTTGAATTATCCTAAATTACAGAAAAGTTACATCAATGCTGACTTTACACTTTTTGGAACTAAACAGAGTATGAATTAATTTAATTTACTTTAAGTTAGATATTTTCCAATGAAGAAACATTCCCAGGTGTGGTAAGTAAACCTGCAATTTAATATCTTCCATTGAACAATCTTCTCAAGGTGGCCACATTTCCAGAATTTAAAGTAGTTCTATTTCTGTAGCAAGCAGCTGTTTGCTATGATTTGTGGACAGTGGTTAATTAATAAAAAATTAATCTACACATCAAGAGACTTTAATGTACACATCTTACACTGAAATATAACCCCAAATTAAGAGTTTATACCTTATTTGCTCTTTCAGACATAACTTGTTTCAAGTTTCAAATAAGTAACTTTTTTGTTGTTGTTGTTGCTGTTTGTTTGTTTGTTTGTTTGTCTTTGTTTTTCAAGTTAAGCACCCTATCTCCTTTATTAGGAATTTCTGGTTCATGAAGACTTGCTTGAGGCCTCCTACTCTAGAGCCCTCAGAATCCTCCATTAACAGAGAATCCTAGTTTCCCCCCAGCCCTTTTGTTCAGAACCACCAGAGAAATGTTAGCTAGTGGGCACAGCTGTCAGCTGCCTTTAATAGAGCAAGCATGTGCGGGATGCCATTTGTGGGAACAGATACAGGGGAAGAGGATTTTCCTAGGAAGGGAAGTGAGAGTGAGGAAAGTCAGAGGACAGAGAAGCCCCTGAGAATAAGCCTACAGGAAGGACAACCATGTAAACCACAAAATAGAGGAAGTAGAATGTATTTCCTTTCATCGTAAAGCAGTGCTCCCAAACTTTCCATAGCATGGCACAAGGGTGGAGAACTAACATCCAAGCACACCTGGATGGTGGATGGGACCCACTTCTGGGTAACCTGATGAGGAAACTATAGTGTAGAAATTCAGGATGCCGTCTTCAGAGCAGAGTGGGCCTGGTTCAAGTCCCTGTTCTGCCACTTACTAACTGCATAACCTTGTGCAAGCTACTTAATTTCTCGGCTCCTTCTCTGTGACATGGGTACAACGTGGTCAGGAATAAAGGAACTAATGCATATGCAGTGCTCAGCACAAAGCCTGACACACAGCAGGCTCTCACCAGGTGCTATCCTCAGCACGACTGCTTGGTTGAGCTACTGTGGCAGTGGCAGGTTGTGCCCCAAGGGGGTGGGCTCAGGAGCCCGTGCAGCAAGGGGCAGTGACCAAGGCGGCAGGGAGTAGTAGCCTTATCTTTTCAGCCTCTCTGCCTTGGACTTTGCTTCTATTGGGTCCCAAGTTAGGAAAACTAAGGACGAAGCCAGTGACTGACAGCCTCCATTTGAAATGGAATCCTCTGCATCTCCGAGTGGCCCTATACCTGACAATATCATTGTTAGTGAAAGCCCAGTGACAAATGCACTCCCCCACCCCAAGTTCTTCCACATCTCCCATGGAGGACAGCACAGCCAATAGGACAGAGTGTATTTATGGGCAGGGCTGGCTAAACAGGCTGGGTACGAGTCCGGAACAGGGTCAGGAGGATCTGGCTTCCCATTGGCCGACACGACAGAATCCTTCTCGCTTTGCTGTCTGATGTACTGGTCCAATAGGGTGGTCAACTTCAGGGGCTGGTGCTGGAGCAGGGAGTGGGTCTGGGCCATGAGTAGGGTGAGGCCTCCCACAAGCTCCCCCTATGCCAGGGGCAGGCTGGGAAGGCTGGAGTAGTTGATAAAGCCCTGCCTGCTGAGGATGGCATCTACGTCATTGATGCAGCCACCTAGCAGCAGCAGGAATGGCACAGTCCTTAAGATCCTTACCATCTCCTTGACCTTGGGCTCTTCACTGACCAGCAGCATGTTGTGCCCCACAAAAAGGGGCAGGAGATTTTGGTACTTGGAGTCCTCCAGGAAGGGCTTCAGGACCTGGTTGTGGAAGACCTTCATCAGGATCTTGTGTTTCCGCAGCTGGTGTCGCATAAGAAGCTTGTCTGCTACGCTCAGAGCCACGCTCTGGCAGATAGCTATCATTCGGTTGTCCTGGAAAACTGCTGCTCTCTCCCGGCAGAGAAGCCTGATGAGGCCCGTCTCCTGAAATTGGAAAGCAATAACCAAGGGTACATCAGCCGTCACTGCTCCTGGCAACCTTGCTCCCTCTGGGTAAGTTCTAGGGCTTCCAGTGATGCCTCCTGTGGGGGGCCAGGAGGAGATGGCAGGCATGTTGGGTTGACGGCTGGTGTCGGGGGGATATATTCAGTCACAGCCATCAGCTTCTGTCGCTGAAAGTGCATCACACGACGGTGGTGGGTAACAGCCTTGGAGCCATAGCGGACAGTCTGGAGGGCTGGCAGCCGGCCTGCCTGGGGCAGGAGACCCCCTCGCAGCAGCCCCGCCACAGCCGCAGCCATCTCCACCCCAAGAATGGACAGAAGAGTAACTTTTTAAAAAGCAAATATTTAAGGGCCAGTAGAATCCACATATCTTCCATACGGATTTATCTAATGTCAATAATCTACATTTCTTTGCATCTTAGGAAGTAGTATTCTCAGGCTGAATCGCAATAAGCCTCCATGGTAATCACATCAGTTATCAATAATTTCAATTCTGTGGGGATTTTTTTTAGCTTAGTTAACTCAAATATAAATCCCCATATTAAATATTCTCAAACACTATGTTCTCTGGCTTTATCACTAGAAGAAAGTTGTACCATGCTTTAAAATATAATGAAATACAATTTTTTAAGAGTGGCATTTTTAGCACCACTTTTATAGAGCACTTGGTGCAGGAATCAAAATTATTAGCAGTGCCTTTTTTGCTTGTTAAAGAGACTTCTCGGCCGGGCGCGGTGGCTCACGCCTGTAATCCCAGCACTTTGGGAGGCCGAGGCGGGTGGATCATGAGGTCAGGAGATCGAGACCATCCTGGCTAACAAGGTGAAACCCCGTCTCTACTAAAAATACAAAAAATTAGCCGGGCGCGGTGGCGGGCGCCTGTAGTCCCAGCTACTGGGGAGGCTGAGGCAGGAGAATGGCGTTGAACCCGGGAAGCGGAGCTTGCAGTGAGCCGAGATTGCGCCACTGCAGTCCGCAGTCCAGCCTGGGCGACAGAGCGAGACTCCGTCTCAAAAAAAAAAAAAAAAAAAAAGAGACTTCTCACTTTTGGCTGATGGCTGCATCTCTAAATAGATTTTACACTCCCTGCTCAGAGATGGAAAAGCACATACAGCTCTCTTCACATTCAAATAACAATCTCTTCACTCATCACCACCGAAGTCCAATACCCATCCAGAACCTATCAAATTAATTACCAAAGCTTTTCTGCTCTCAGGTTCTCACAGATAAAGCATGCCTGTGAGGGCATTTTACACGTTTTATCCCACTATTCCACAGGATAGTCTTACATTCCAGAATGTACCTAAATGGACTTAAAAGTTCCTCTCCTGTGATCCTGTGAATTAATCATAATGACTGCCCTGGGGAAAAAAGAGAGTCCTCGATAGGAGAGATCCAAAAAGAACTGCTGCTTGGTAAAAGCTCCAGGTTAGGGATATGTCATCATTTAGCCATTGGGAGTTTAATTTACTAGAGTTCAAAACAAGAAAGGGGTTATCCGCAAAACCCCATTCAAGATAGCAACAATTAAAGACGAAAGTCAGATCAAGGGACACACTGGCACCAAAGTTAAGCAGAGTCTTAGAAAGTAGCCAATATCTGAGGTCAGTAACCAGGTCATAAAGCAAGGGTATAAACAATGAGCACAGTGGAAAATCAGCTCAGCGAACACCTGCTTGCCAGGTGTGATTCATTCCCACGGGTTCTTAAAGACCTACCGTGGCCACAGTGTCTGGCAGGGAATATTCAGAGACTATTAACAAAGTAGGCAGAAAATACAATTTTATTGTTTCTGAAGAATATAAGTATTTACATATATGTGTTAATGGCACATATTAAAGAGAAGAGCAAAAGAAAGCTGAGGAAAATTTAAAAGTAAGGACAAACCCATGAGCAAATTCACGAATAATAATCAGAGTTGAGAAAACAGTCTGGGCCAAAGCTGAGGTAAAGGAAAACAATACTTAAAACATGTTCTTTATTGTTTAGTAGGCAAAAAGTAGACTCGTTTCAGAAGAGGTAGAGAAGAAAAAAAAAAGTGTATTATTGGGAAGATGTGAAGGCACCGAATGAAAATGTAAAATACTATTTTTGTTGCTAAAACTAGTTGAAAGCAATTCATATGACTATACAGAATATTAAAACCTAACACACTGTAAAAGCCTTGATTTTTAAAATTTGTTAAGTATGTAAGATTTGTTAGGTATGTAAAGGTAAATATATATACAAAATAGAAGCCACTGAGCATTGAAAGAATATATAGTATATGTAAGATTTGTTAGGTATGTGAGATTTGTTAGGCATATAAAGGTAAATATACATACAAAATAGAAGCCATTGAGCATTGAAAGAATATACAGTCATTGAACCTAGTTATAAAATCCTAAAGTGAAAAACTGATTTTCACATATACATATCTAAACGTACTTGTTTTTAAACCTGAACTTGCTTTTAAATTATACAAGTAAACACTTTGCTACAAAAAGTCACTTTAAAGTACACAAAATACAGCCCTTTTGTCAGGATTTTTACAACCCACAGCATCGTTACAGGATGAATGTGGATGGATACCATGAAAATAATTTCTATCTTCAATTATTATACCCAGCTATGATTTTTATAAAAATGACAGGAATTTGTGCAATAGCTGATTAACTCTACTAAATTAGATAACTTGCTTAATTTGCAATATTTTAAGTCTCTGTGCATGTCATAATTTGAATAGTTAACACCAAATCCCAAGATAATAGTCCATTTTCTGTAAATAATTACACTAAATAAAATTACAAATTTTAGTAATGGTACTTCTTCTTAATCCTAAACTATCTCCCTCATTTCCAGTTAATTCTATATTTCATTTAGTTATAAAACATATTAAAGGACTTTAAAAGACAGTCTGTTGTGAAGTGCAATGATTATAGAATGTTTCAATAATGCAAAAAATAGAGGCTGAAACAAGTTTTAAACAACACTAAAATAAAGAAGAAACTGTTTGACACAATTTTGTAAAAGTGCTAAAGATACCTGGCTAGCTTCCATATAAATCTGTAATGGATAAGTCTTGAAGCATTCTACAGCTTATCCACAATACCTCTCCCTTTTATCTTTGTGAAAAAATTAGCCCTGCCAACTTGGCTATAAAAGACTAACTGGACTTTAAAGATGCGTTAGAACTCAAATATATTTCTAGTTCTTATAATACGTAGTCTTAAAATAAATTCCACTTTCTTACACTTGTATAAGAGAATCTCTGGTCTTTTGTTTCAGAAGGCCTTTGAGCTAGCTAGAAGAAATCCTGTATCTGGGGAAAAAAGGATGATAATTACCATAAGGAAAACAAGTGAAGGTATAAAACTCACTGCTATAGCAGATACACAAATGAGAGAAAGAAAAGAATCAAACTTTATCAATACAGAAACACACCAAACCACAAAAATAAACAATAAAAAAGGAATAAAGGAACAAAGAATATTCAAAACAACCAGAAAAAAAAAACTAAATAAATACTGCCTGCAAAAACATACACCTGGAATGTCACACATAGGCTTAAAGTAAAGGGATGGGAAAAGATATTCTATGCAAATGTATACCAAAACCAAAGAGAAGTAGCTATATTTATATGAGATAAAATAGAGTTTAAGTCAGAAACTGTAAAAAAGAGACAAAGAAGATCATTATATAATGATAAAAGGATGAATTCATCAAGACACTATAATAAATATATATGCCCCCAACAATGAAGCACCCAGACACATGAAGCAAATATTGATAGATCTAAATGGGGAGATAAGCCCTAATATAATAATACTAAGGGACTTCAACATTGCACTTTTCAGTATTAGGAAGACCATCTAGACAGAAAATCAACAAAGAAACCCTAGATTTGAACTCCTCTATAAAACAAATGGACCTAATAGACATTTATAGAATATTTCATTCACTTTGGGCAGAATACACACTCTTCTCATCAGCATAAAACATTCTCCAGGATAGACTATATGTTAGGCCAAAAGTCACAACAAGTTTACAAAAATATAAATCATGTTACGTATTTTTTCTGGACTTAATGGAATAAAACTAAAAATCAATAACAAGAAGACCTTTAGAAACTACAAATACATGGAAATTAAACAACATGCTCCTGAATAGCCAATGTGCCATTTAAACTTTTTGAAACAAATAAAAATATAAATACAACATAGTAAAACATATGGGGTATAGGAAAAGCAGATAAGAGGAAAGTTTATAACACTAAATTCCTGCATCAAAAAAGTAGAAAACTTTTAAAGAAACACCTTAATAATGTATCTCAAGGAATTAGAAAAGCAAGAACAAAACAAACCCAAAACTACTAGAAGGATACAAATAATAAAGATAAGAGGAGAAATAAATGAAATTGAAATTAAATATATAATACAAAAGATCAACAAAATTAAAATTAGTTTTTTGAAAAGATAAAAAATAGAGACTAAAAAATACTAAATAAGAAATGCAAAGTTAGTTTTGTTTTTAAAATCATTATTAACAATTTTTTGTGTATCCTTCCATAAAGTATGCATAAACAAGCATACATAAGCAATATTTCCTTTCTTGTCTTCATTTTTTTGTAAACAAATGATATTATACTGAACATGTTATTCTATAACTTCCTTTCTTCACTCAATGATATATCCTGAATGTTGCAACATAGCATCACAAAAATATATACCTAATTATCTTGAATACCTGCATGGTACTACATTACATGGACATTTTGAAATTGATTTTTACCAGAGTAAAGTTAATTTTTTGAAAAATTAAGCAATATTGACAAATCATTATCTAGACTAAAAAACAAGAGAAGAACAAAATAAATAAAATTAGAAACAAAAAAGACATTACAACTGATAACACAATAATACAAAGGATTGTCAGAGACTATTATGAACAACTATACACCAAAAAATTGGAAAATCTAGAGAAAATGGATAAATTCCTGGACACACGCAATACATCAAAATTAAATCAGAAAGAAAGAGATTTCTGAACAGATCAATAACAAGTAATGAGATTAAAGCAGTATTAAAAAGTCTTCCAACAAAGAAAGACCACGACTGGATGGTTTCGCTGTTGCTGACTTGTAGCAAATATTTTTTAAAGAACTAACGCTAATTCTCAAACTATTCCAAAAAATTGGAAGGAAGAGAATTCTTTCAAACTCATTTTAAAATGTCAGTTTTACCCTGATACCAAGGCCAGACAAGGAACTTCAAGGAAATAAAATTACAGGACTATATCTTTGATGAACATAGATGCAAAAATCCTCAAAAAAATCCTCAGGGATCTAGAACTATAAATACTATTTGACCCAGCCATCCCATTACTGGGTATATACCCAAAGGATTGTAAATCATGCTGCTATAAAGACACATGCCCACGTGTGTTCATTGCAGCACTATTCACAATAGCAAAGACTTGGAATCAACCCAAATGTCCAACAATGATAGACTGGATTAAGAAAATGTGGCACATATACACCACGGAATACTATGCAGCCATAAAAAATGATGAGTTCATGTCCTTTGTAGGGACATGGATGAAGCTGGAAACCATCATTCTCAGCAAACTATCGCAAGGACACAAAACCAAACACCACATGTTCTCACTTATAGATGGGAATTGAACAATGAGAACACTTGGACACAGGGTGGGGAACATCACACACCGGGGCCTGTTGTGGGGTGGCGGCAGGGGGGAGGGATAGCATTAGGAGATATACCTAATGTAAATGACGAGTTAATAGGTGCAGCACACCAAAATGGCACAGGTATACATATGTAACAAACTTGCACGTTGTGAACATGTACCCTAGAACTTAAAGTATAATAAAAATATATAAATATATAAAGAAAATCCCATTTACTATGGCACCCAAAAGCATAAAATACATAAGAATAAATTTAACTAAGAAGGTGTAAAACAGACACCAAAAACTACAAAATATTGCTTAAAGAAAATACACACAAATAGGCATCTCATGCTCATGGATTGGAAGACTTAATATTGTTAAAATGTCCATATTACCCAAAGTGATCTACAAATTTAATGCAATTCCTATCAAAATTGCCATAGCATATTTTATGGATGTATTACAGAAAAAGAATTCTAAAATTCATATGGAATCTCAAGGAAACCCAAATAACCAAAACAATCCTGAAAAAGAAAACAAGATTGGAGGCCTCACACTTCCTGATTTCAAAATTTATTACAAAGTGACAGTAAGCAAAACAGTATGTTATGGCCATAAGACAGACATATAGACCAATGAAACAGAGGAGAGTCCAGAATAAACCCACATGTATATGATCAAGTCGTCTTTGACAAGGGTGCCAAGAATATACAATGGAAAAAGGATAATCTCTGCAACAAATGGTATTGAAACAATAGGATAGCCACATGCAAATGAATGAAGTTGGACACTTACCTTACAGCATATATAAAAATTAACTGAAAATGAATTAAAGACCTAAACACAGGACTTAACACTGTAAAACGCCTAAAAGATATCATAGGGGAAATGCTACAGGATATTGAATTTGGCAATGATTTCTTAGATATGACATCAAAGCACAGACCAAAAAGCAAAACAGACAAATAGGACTATGTCACAATTTAAAACAATTTCTCATCAAAAGAATAATCAACAGATAGAAAAGGAAAGTTAGGGAACAGGAGAAAATATTCACAAATTGTTTTCTGAAAAGGGGTTAATAACCAGAATATATAAAGAACTTCTACAACTCAACAAAAAAAAAAAACAAATAACCTGATTTAAAAATTGATAAATAACTTGAATAGATAATTCTCCAAAGAAAATATACAAATGGCCAACTAGCATATGAAAAGATCAATAATCACAAGAGAAATGCACATTAAAACCACAGTGAAATACCCTCACCCCCTGTTAAGATGGCTATTATCAAAATAATGAAAAAAAAAAAGTCTTGGTGAGGATGTGGAGAAATGGAACACCTTTGCAACTTGGCTGGGATTGTAAAACAATGCAGCCACTGTGGCAAGAAGTGTAAAGTTTCCTTAAAAAATTAAAAATAATTACCATATGATACAGCAATCCCACTTTTGGGTATATATCTAAAAGAATTCAAGGCAGGATCTCAAAGAGATCTCTGCACACTTATGTTCATAGCAGCATTTTTTACAATAGCTAAGAGGTGGAAGCAATCCAAATGTCCATTAAAAGATGAATGGATGGGCCGGACGCAGTGGCTCCCACCTGTAATCCCAGCACTTTGAGAGGCTGAGGTGGGCAGATCACAGGGTCAGGAGATCGAGACCATCCTGGCTAACATGGTAAAACCCCGTCTCTACTAAAAATACAAAAAAATTAGCCGGGCATGGTGGTGGGCGCCTGTAGTCCCAGCTACTCAGGGGGCTGAGGCAGGAGAATGGCGTGAACCCGGGAGGCGGAGATTGCAGTGAGCCAAGATCACACCACTGTACTCCAGCCTGGGTGACAGAGCGAGACTCCGTCTCAAAAAAAAAAGAAAGAAAAAAGATGAATGGATAAAGATAAAGTGGTATATACAATGGACTATTATGCCATTTTTAATAATTTCAACTTTTAGGTTCAGGAGGTATATGTGCAGGTTTGTTACATGAGTATGTTGGGTGATGCTGAGATTTGGGGTATGAATAATTCCAACACCCAGGAAGTAAGCATAGTACAAAATCATTTTTCAACTCTTATCCCCTCCCTCCTCTAATAGTTCCCGGTGTCTATTGTGGCCATCTTTATGTCCATGAGTACCCAATGTTTTGCTCCACTTATAAGTGAGAAAACCAAATGTAGTATTTGGTTTTGTGTTCCTGAGTTAATTCACTTAGGATGATGGTCTCCAGTTGCATCCATGTTGCTGCAAAGACATGACTGCATTCTTTTTTATGGCTTCATAGTATTCAATGGTGTATTTGTACCAATTTTTCTTTAAACAATCTGCCACTGATACGCACCTGAGCTAATTTTGTGTCTTTGCTACTGTGAGTAGTGCTTCAAGAACACACAAGTGCATGTGTCTTTTTGGTAGAATAATTTATATTCCTTTGGTATATACCCAGTAATGGGATTTCTGGGTTCAATGGTTATTCTGTTTTAAGTGCTTTGAAAAATCTCCAAACTGCTTTCCACAGTGGTTGAACTAATTTACCTTCCCACCAACAGTATATAAGCATTTCCTTTTCTCTACAACCTCACTGGCATCTGTTATTTTATGACTTTTTAACAATAGCCATACTGACTGGTGTGAGATGGTATCTCATTGTGGCTTTGATTTGCATTTCTCTGATGATTAGTGATGTTGAGCATTTTATATATTTCTTGGCCACATGTACATCTTCTTTTGAGAAGTGTCCATTCTTATCTTTTTCTCCATTTTTTAATGGGGTTATTTGTTTTTTTGCTTGCTCAATTGCTTAAGTTCTTTATATATTATCTGAAATGCCTTTGAAGCCTTTTCCCCATTGTCTTAACTACTTGACTCCTTTTTACTTACGCAAACTTTTACATAAGTAAAACTTGCTTGAATTCCTTCCATGAAAATGGGCTTTTCTACCACAAGGCCAGGCTGCACATTTTTTACACTTTTACATCCTGTGCCCCTTTTAAGTATCAGTTCAACTTTAGGTCATTTCTTTACTAACACATATAAGAACAGGATTTTAGAAGCAACCAGGCCACTTCTGGAATGCTTTGTTGCTTACAAATTTCTGCTACCAGATACCCTAAATCACCACTATCAATTTCAAAGTTCCAGATCCCTAGGACAGGGGCAAAATGCAGCCAAGTTTTTGCTAAGACATAACAAAAGTAACCTTATTCTAGTTCCCAATAAGTTCCTCATTTCTATCTGAGACCTCATCAGCCTGGACTTCATTGTACATATCACTATCAGCATTTTGATTATGACCATCCAGTTAGTCCCTAGGAAGTGTCAAACTTTCCCTCATCTGTCCTCTTCTGAGCCCCACACATTCTTCCCACCGCTGCCCAATACCCAGTTCCAAAGTCACTTTCACATTTTCAGGTTTATCTATAGCAATGCCCCACTTCTCAGTACCAATTTTCTGTATTAGTCTGATCTCAAGTGGCTACAAAAATTGCTATAAAATTTTTCTGTATTAGTCTGTGTTCACATTGTTTCCTGAGACTGGGTAATTTATAAAGAAAATAGGTTTAATTGGCTCACAATTATGCAGCCTGTACATGAAGCATGATGCTGGCATTTGCTTGCCCTCTAGGAAGGCCTCAAGAAACTTACAATCACGGTGCAAGATAAAATGGAGCAGACCCTTCACATGGCTGGAGCAGAAGGAAGAGAGACTGAGGAGGGAGTTGCTGCACAGTTTTATCGAACCAGATCTCATGAGAACTCACTATCATGAGAACAGCATCAAGGGGATGGTGCCAAACTATTCATGAGAAATCCACCCCCATGATTGAACCACCTCCCACCAGACCCCACCCCCAACATTGGTGCCTACAATTCAACATGAGATTTGGTGGGGACACACATCCAAACCATCAGGAACATCCACTTGAAATTTGCTTTTTTTGTTGGGTCTTTGCCAGATTTTTCTTTTTTTTGTTGTATCTTTGCCAGATTTTGATATCAGAATGATACTGGTTTTATAGAATGAGTTAGAAAGGAGTCATTCCTGCTTGATTTTTGGGAATAGTAAGTAGGATTCATATCAGCTCCTCTTTGTATGTTTGGTAGAATTGGTCTATGAATACATCTTGTCCAGGGCTTTATTTGGTTGGTAGAATTTTTATTACTGATTTAATTTCATTACTCATTGTTGACCTATTCAGGATTTCTGTTTCTTCATGGTATAGTCTTAGGAAGTTGTGTGTTTCCAGGAATTTTCTATTTCTGTGGGATCAGTTGTAATATCACCTTTGCCATTTCTGATTATGCCTATTTGGATCTTCTCTTTTTTTCCTTGTTAATGTAGCTAGCAGTCTATCAATCTTGTTTATCCTCTCAAAAACCAACTTTTGGTTTATGATGGTTTGTATGGATTTTGGGGTCTCAATTTCATTCAGTTCTCTAATTTTAGTTGTTTTTCTCCTGCTAGCTTTGTGGTTAGTTTGTTCCTTTTTTCTATTTCATTAGGTGTGATGTTAGATTCTTAATTTGAGATCTTTCTAAGTTTTTGAGGTAGGCATTTAGTGCAAAAAACTTTTCTCTTAACACTTCCTTTGCAGCATCCAAGAGATTTTAGTATGTTGGGTCTTTATTTTCATTTATCTCAAAGACTTTTTTTAATTTCTGTCTTAATTACATTGTTTACCCAAAATTAATTCAGGAGCAAGTTGTTTAATTTCCATGCAATTGTGTGGTTTTGAGGGATCTTCTTGGTATTTATTTCTATTTTTATTCCATTGTGATTGGAGACTACAGTTGGAATTATTTCATTTTTATAAATTTATTGAGACTTGCTTTTGGCCAGCATGTTGTAATCTTGGAGTATTTACCACATACAGATGAGAAGAATGTATATTCTGTGGTTGATGAGTGGAGTATTCTACTAGGTCTTTTAAGTCCAATTGGTCAAACATCAAATTTAAGTCTAGAATTTATTTGTTAGTTTTCTGCCTTGATGATCTGTTCAATACTGTCAGTAGGGTGTTGAAGTCTCCTATTATTATTGAGTGGCAGTGTAAGTCTTTTTTAGGTCTACAAGTACTTGTTTTATTAATCTGGGTGCTCCAATGTTGGTTGCGTACATATTTAAGATAGTTGTTTTCTTGTTGAATTAAACCCTGCATCATTATGTAATGTCCTTCTTTGTCTTTTTTACTGTTGTTGGTTTAAAGTATGATTTATCTGATACAAGAATAGCAACCTCGTCTCTTTTTTTGTTTTGTGTTTGAACGATAGATCTTTCTCCAGCTTTACTTTGAGCCTATGAATGTTGTCAGTGAGATGGGTCTCTTGAAGATAGCAGACAGATGGGTCCTGGTTTTTAATCTAAATTGCCACTTTGAGCCTTTTAAGTAGAGCATTTAGACCATTTACATTCAAGGTTTATATTGATATGTGAGGTTTGATCCTATTGCAAACTTGTTAGGTGGTTGCTTTATATTTTCTATTGGGTGGTTGCTTTATAGGATCTATGGACTATTTACTTAAGCACATTTCTGCAGTAACAGGTATTATACTTTTGATTCTATGTTTAGAACTCCCTTAAATATCTCTTGTAATGCTGGTGTACTGGTAACAAATTCCCTTAACACGTCCTTGTCTGGAAAAGATTTTATTTCTCCTTCACTGATGAAGCTTAGTTTGGCAAGATATAAAATTATTGGTTGAAATCTTTTCTTTAATATTGTTGAAAGTAGGCCTCCACTTTTGAAAAAAATCAACAACCCTTCATGCTAAAAACTCTCAATAAATTAGGTATTGATGGGACGTATCTCAAAATAATAAGAGCTATCTATGACAAACCCACGGCCAATATCATACTGAATGGGCAAAAACTGGAAGCTTTCCCTTTGAAAACTGGCACAAGACAGGGATGCCCTCTCTCACCACTCCTATTCAACATAGTGTTGGAAGTTCTGGCCAGGGCAATGAGGCAGGAGAAGGAAATAAATGGTATTCAATTAGGAAAAGAGGAAGTCAAATTGTCCCTGTTTGCAGATGACATGATTGTATATCTAGAAAACCCCATTGTCTCAGCCCAAAATCTCCTTAAGCTGATAAGCAACTTCAGCAAAGTCTCAGGATACAAAATCAATGTACAAAAATCACAAGCATTCTTATACACCAATAACAGACAAACAGAGAGCCAAATCATGAGTGAACTCCCATTCAGAATTGCTTCAAAGAGAATAAAATACTTAGGAATCCAACTTACAAGGGATGTGAAGGACCTCTTCAAGGAGAACTACAAACCACTGCTCAATGAAATAAGAGGATACAAAGAAATGGAAGAACATTCCATGCTCATGGGTAGGAAGAGTCAATATCATGAAAATGGCCACACTGCCCAACTTAATTTATAGATTCAATGCCATCCCCATCAAGCTACCAATGACTTTCTTCACAGAATTGGAAAAAACTACTTTAAAGTTCACATGGAACCAAAAAAGAGCCCGCATCGCCAAATCAATCCTAAGCCAAAAGAACAAAGCTGGAGGCATCATGCTACCGGACTTCAAACTATACTACAAGGCTACAGTAACCAAAACAGCATGGTACTGGTACAAAAACAGAGATATAGATCAATGGAACAGAACAGAGCCCTCAGAAATAATGCTGCATATCTACAACTATCTGATCTTTGACAAACCTGACAAAAACAAGCAATGGGGAAAGGATTCCCTATTTAATAAATGGTGCTGGGAAAACTGGCTAGCCATATGTAGAAAGCTGAAACTGGATCCCTTCCTTACACCTTATACAAAAATTAATTCAAGATGGATTAAAGACTTAAATGTTAGACCTAAAACCATAAAAACCCTAGAAGAAAACCTAGGCATTACCATTCAGGACATAGGCATGGGAAGGACTTCATGTCTAAAGCACCAAAAGCAATGGCAACAAAAGCCAAAATTGACAAATGGGATCTAATTAAACTAAAGAGCTTCTGCACAGCAAAAGGAACTACCATCAGAGTGAACAGGCAACCTACAGAATGGGAGAAAATTTTCGCAACCTACTCATCTGACAAAGGGCTAATATCCAGAATCTGCAATGAACTCAAACAAATTTACAAGAAAAAAACAACCCCATCAAAAAGTGGGCAAAGGATATGAACAGACATTTCTCAAAAGAAAACATTTATGCAGCCAAAAGACACATGAAAAAATGCTCATCATCACTGGCCATCAGAGAAATGGAAATCAAAACCACAATGAGATACCATCTCACACCAGTTGGAATGGAGATCATTAAAAAGTCAGGAAACAACAGGTGCTGGAGAGGATGTGGAGAAACAGGAACACTTTTACACTGTTGGTGGGACTGTAAACTAGTTCAACCATTGTGGAAGTCAGTGTGGCGATTCCTCAGGGATCTAGAACTAGAAATACCATTTGACCCAGCCATCCCATTACTGGATATATACCCAAAGGACTATAAATCATGCTGCTATAAAGACACATGCACACGTATGTTTATTGTGGCACTATTCACAATAGCAAAGACTTGGAACAAACCCAAATGTCCAACAATGATAGACCAGATTAAGAAAATGTGGCACATGTACACCACGGAATACTATGCAGCCATAAAAAATGATGAGTTCATATCCTTTGTAGGGACATGGATGAAATTGGAAATCATCATTCTCAGTAAACTATCTCAAGGACAAAAAACCAAACACCGCATGTTCTCACTCACAGATGGGAATTGAACAATGAGAACACATGGACACAGGAAGGGGAACATCACACTCTGGGGACTGTTGTGGGGTGAGGGGAGAGGGGAGGGATAGCGTTAGGAGATATACCTAATGCTAAATGACGAGTTAATGGGTGCAGCACACCAGCATGGCACATGTATACATATGTAACTAACCTGCACATTGTGCACATGTACCCTAAAACTTAAAGTATAATAATAATAAAAAAATTAAAAATAATAAAAAAAAAAGAAATAAAGTAGGCCTCCAATCTCCCCTGGCTTGCAAGGCTTCTGCTGAGAAATCTGCTGTTAGTCTGATGGGGTTCCTATTGTATGTGATCTGACCTTTTTATCTAGCTGCTTTTAAGATTTTTTCTTTAGCATTGACCTTGGATAGTCTGGTGACTGTATATTTTGATGATGTTCATACTGCAAATATTACACCATTTTTAAAAAGAAGGAAATTTGATCACATGCTATAACATGGATGAATCTCAAGGGTATTATGTTAAGCACAAAAAGTTTATGGCAGATGATAGAAGAACCTGACAGTGATAACTTAAGCCTATTCTGAGAATGCCCAAGTATGACAGATGTATAGGTGGGCATTGTGAGTTCAGACTTTTGAGCATCACCAACCTGGAGATTCATTCCTTATCTATAAGAAACATCTGAGGCCCTTGCCCATCCCATGGAACACAGGCCATACAGGCAATCAAGGCCCTCTGTTTTGGATTAACAAAGATTGTCAGGTGGAGGTAGTTGAGGGAAGGATGATAAGTGACATTGCTATATAATCTGTATGATTTCTGCAAGCTGTGGCAGTTCTGTCCCGCCCCCTCCCACTGGACCAACCCTGTAGGTTTCAAAAAGCGCTATGTCTAATTTCTGATTTTTTTAATGCTGTTGACTAATTTTTTAAATGCTATGTATACCAACACATCATTTGCAGCTTCTGGGCTAGGTGATCTCTGAGTTCCCTTCCAGTTTACAATTTCTATAATCAAAACTAAGAGTTGTGTGTCTTAGTAACTGGTCTCTTTGCCAGGTGACCCTCCTCTGAGTTTTGAATCTTCCCTGTGTGAGCTATTCACCTGGGTTAGTATCCACACTGGGGTGTCATAGAGCTGTATCATGGTTACAAGTCCTCAGCTCTATATGGATTGACGTTTTGGCCTGTGAACTAGATTGGAGGTCTTTGAACAGCTATTTCACACGGAGAATCCTGTTGTTTAAGTTGAACGTTACATGGACTTCTAAACCCGTTTAACATATGAAAGCAGAATTGCTTTGATGTAAGTAGGGCTGGGAAAGAAGGAGTGAATGACTGTGTTCCATTTCCTACCTTATCAGTGGGTCTTTCTCTTCTGAGTAGACTCCACAAAGCCTCTATCGAAGTTCAGAAGAAAAGCTTTAGGAACTGGAGGAGGGAAAGCGGGCGTCTGAACTTCTTTATCCCTTGCCCCAAACAGAGCAGCTGCTGCTCTTATCAGCTGTACTGAGTTTTCGCTTAAGCTTCTGTTTGAAAAAGTGGGTTTAGCTGCTTTAAAATATATATATTTAAAAAAAAAAAAACCTGGCCTTACAGCCCCTATGCTCAGGCCCACTCCCACACTGTGGAGTGTACTTTCATTTTCAATAAATCCTTTTATTCCTTCCTTGCTTTGTTTGTGCATTTTGTCCAATTATTTGTTCAAGATGCCAAGAACCTGGACACCCTCCACCGTTAACATATTTTGGCGAGCCAGCCCAGAGAAAGAGTCTTACAGTGGCTGTTTCCTGTTCTTATAAACCTCATAATATGCTTTGGAGGGGAAACCTGCATGTGGCGCCCACCTAAGGTCAGAGATGTCTGGAACTCTAAGATTGAACCCCACAGGAGGATGCTCCGTGGGTTCTGTGGACCTCAAACTCTCAAAAGGAGATGCTCTTGGGAGAGGTTCTGAGGCCTAGTATTAAACCCTCCTTAGAATTTTCTCTTGCAGTTGCAATACTGCTTGGCCCCAAATTTGTTTAAAATCTGAAGTTTCCTGTCTAATGGGAAAGTGGGATGGCATTGCATGTGCTTTTGTGCTCCTGTTGTAAGCAGGAAGCCTGGTTAATGTGTGATGCCCTCCTTTTGTACAGTTTGGCCCTAGTGTTCCTGGAGTCTGGGGAGGTTTTAGCCTTTAAAAATCAAACGGCCATGGAGACTGCTTTACCCAAAATTTTGGTTCACAGCCTTCTTTGGATTATCTATTAGGGCAAAGTAAAACCAGCAAGCTTATATTGCTATCTCATGGCTAAGGTGTCAAGCTATTGGATCTTTGTGTGTGTATACATGTCTAGATGTGTTTATTTGTATGTACACTTATTGTTATATGTTATGTCTACCAAATTGGCTTATAAGTAAAAGAACACTTATAAATTAAGTAAGTCTAAGCAACTTTCAAGTTAATGTGACTTAAAGTAAAACTTTACTAAACAAGCTAGCCTTAAAATTATTGATGGAATAAAAATAGAAATGCCTTCAGAATTTTCAGGATACATTTTGTCTGAATTTTATGTTTGTCTTTGCTAAATATTTTAAAATATCAGTATTAATGCAAGCTAGGAGCTGCTTAGGGTAAGTCTGCCTCCCATTCTATTCAAAGTCTCACTGAGATAAATTCATGTCTGATTGCTTCCTTTGGAAAGGCTAATTGGAAACTCAAAAGAATGCAACCATTTGTCTCCAACCTGTGATCTGAAAGCCCCCAAGACTCCTCACCTCAAGTTGTCCCACCTTTCCAGAACAAACCAATGATTATTTTACATACGTTAGTTGATGTCTCATTTCTCGTTTGTTAAAAGTAATAAGTACAGTGAATGGGATAAATGTCTTCGGTAAACTTTTTGCATAAATTAAAATCTTAAAGTTATTTTTAATGCTCATTTAATATCTGGGTCATTTCCAATTAAGAAGAGTTGTAATATGGGGAAAATATGTTTCTAAAATTGTGAATTGTTCTTACCTATAAATGCCCACTATTATTCAGGATTTCTTCCTTTTTAGGGTTCCACTAAAGTTTTAGGTTACTAAGGATAAAAATTTTAGTTAACACGTAATTCTGTACGCAAAGTGTGCCAGAAAGGGTTATAAGTGAGAAAAAAAAAAAGAATAATTCTGTCTAATTCAGAAGTTATCTAAGAGTTAGTTCAAATTACAGATTTGAAAAGGTTATTTATGAAACAACGTGGTAAGAAATCATTAAGTAGGGGAGAAAGATGTGGAAAAAGTTTAAATAATAAAATATTCAAAAAAAAACCAAACCTGACCTAGATGAGAGTATCAGGTATGATCATTAATTTTTCAGATGACACAAATAGGGATTAAACAAACTGCACAAATTGAAATTATAAGCACCAGGGAATGGTGAATAAATAGATGTAAAAGATGGTGGAATCCTGAGGCTATCAAGCCAACCAAATAAAGTGTTGCCTTTTAGAATAGAACTCCAATTTTGAAGAGAACATAAATAGAAGTCAACTTGGCCTGTAAGGTCCCTTGGCCCCATTGTCTGCTTGCTGGCACTCCATAAGGAGCTACAATTCAGGCTGGACATCAAAATCTACAGGAATGAAAAGCATCTCAGACAGCGAGGTTAATTAAAGGTCTGTAACATAAAGCTTAAGAAAACAGCGAAGTAACCAAAATTTTTCCATCAGGATAAAAACACTATGAAGACAGTCAACATTCATAAAACATGATGAGTTCATGTCTTTTGTAGGGACATGGATGAAATTGGAAATTATCATTCTCAGTAAACTATCGCAAGGACAAAAAACCAAACACCACATGTTCTCACTCATAGATGGGAATTGAACAATGAGAACACATGGACACAGGAAGGGGAACATCACACTCTGGGAACTGTTGTGGGGTGGGGGGATGGGGGAGGGATAGCATTAGGAGATATACCTAATGCTAAATGACAAGTTAATGGGTGCAGCACACCAACATGGCACATGTATACATATGTAACTAACCTGCACATTGTGCATATGTACCCTAAAACTTGAAGTATAATAATAAAAATAATAATAATAATAATAATAATAAAGGCTGCAAAGCCAGCAAAGGGAAATAGATAAATTGGATTACATCAAAATCTAAAACTGTTATGTACGAAGGACACTATCAATAGAGTGAGAAGGTAACCCATGGAAAGGAAAAAAATATATATCTGAGGCTAGGATGATGTGTCATGCCTGTAATCTTGGCACTTTGGGAGGCCAGAGTGGGAAGATTACTTGAGGTCAGGAGTTGAAGTTTGCAGGGAGCTGTGATCACACAACTGGACTCCAAGCTTGGAAAACAGGGCAAGATCCTGTCTCAAAAATAAAATAAATATATATATATGTACATAATATTATATATATATATGATAAGGGGTTTTATATATATATATATGAGAAGGGGTTAATATTCAGATAATACAAAGAACTCACTCCTACAACTCAACAACAAGAAAAACAACAAATTAAAAATGGGCACAGGAGTTGAATAGACGTTTTTCTAAAGAAGACATGCAAATGGCCAATAAGCACATGAAAAAGTGCTCAACATCACTAATCATTAAAGAAATACAAATTAAAAACCACAATGAAATAACATTTCACATCCATTCAAATGGCTATTATCAAAAAAAGAAACAGAAATAAATGTTAGCAAGGATGTAGAGAAACTGGAACACTTGTGCACTTTTGGTGGGAACGTAAAATAGTGAAGGCACTGTGAAAAACAGCATAGCAGTTCCTCAAAAGCTAAAAATAGAATCACCATATAATCCAGCAATTCCATTTCTGGGTATATACCTAAAGGGATTGAAAACAAGAACTTGAGCAGATATTTGTATACCCATGTTCATAGCAGAATTATTCACAGTAGCCAAAAGGTAGAAGCAACTAAAATGTCCATCAACAGATGATGAATAAAAAAAAATGTAGTACATACATAAAATAGAATATTATTTAGCCTTAAAAAGGAAGGAAATTCTGATACGTGTTACAACGTGAGCGAATCTTGAAGACATTACGCCAAGTAAAATAACCTGGTCACAAAATGTCAAAAGCCACATGATTCCACTTATATGAGGTATATCAAGCAGTCAAATTCATAAAGATAGTAAAATAGTGGTTTCCAGGGGTTAGGGGAAGGGAGAGATGTGGAGTTCTTATACAATGGGTACACAGTTTCAGTTTTGCAAGATAAGAAATGTTTTGGAGATGGTTGGTGGTGATGGAAGCAGAACAATGTGAATGTTCTAAATGTGAATGTCGCTAAACTGTATAGTTTTAAAAAATAGATAAAATGGTAACTTTTATGTTATGTATTACTTTTTCCACAACTTAAAACTGTTTTTTCTAAAGACAAAGACTATGAGAATCTTAAAAGCATATTGGCCAATATGCCAAGAGAGTCTCATGAGATGCCAGCCAGAAGAACTTGACATATTCTCTTTTCACAGTATATTCCCACTGTGTCTGGTAGACATGGATATCTATGATCCATCAGGGTGAATGAACTTTGAGTGTACCTGCTTTGGCAGTACTGGTTATAGGGACTCCGACTTGGAGGGAAATCTGTGGAAACAAGTAAGGAAGCTTAGACAGGCTAAGTTGAGCACAATGAGGTGAGTAGGATCAATGAATACATTCCAGGCCAAAAAGATTTTAGTGGACCTGATAATTCCAGAACATTATTTGCAAGGCTACTTATAACAGGCACCAAACTACTTATTATAACAGCATAAACAAAAGTCCTTATTATAACAGCATAAACAAAAGTCAGCCTGTATAATTTGTGAGAATAAAGTCTTTAAACTCCTAACAGAATGAATGTACAGGCACGGGGGATTATTTATCAGACACTGTATGTAATACAGAGAAACTAAATGATGTCCTTCTGAAACAAACAAAACTGCACTATAGATGCTTAAACAGTCTTGTGGTTTTAAACAGCAATTATTTTACACATTCTAGAATACTGGAAGGTCTGGTCCCACTTCCTCTAGAAAAGTGAAGATTCTTATTTTTTTCCATCTTCCCTGTTATGGAGGGCTCTAAGAACCTCAAAATTGTTTGTAATGGCCACTGCCACCATGAAACATGCTTAAAGAAGTTTAAATATCCATAGATATTGAGTTACATGAAATGAATGACAAATAAAGGGCACATCAATTTTGGCACTTGTGTGAATGGAGAATTAATAGAAAATTCATAAAACAATAATAGAAAATGCCAACAAAATAAGCTGGTTAAACCTTTAAAAAAATTAGTTGTCAAATGTTAAGAATAAGTTTTAAGAAAATGTTGTGCTCATTTAGCTTCTGGCAAGGTTTAAGTGTACAAATATTAAATGCTTGACACAATCAGCTTCAAGGACAGATGCCATGCTCCCAGGTTCACGGTGGTGCCAGGGGATAAAGCATCTGCTGTGCCTGAGGTGAGCAGTAGAAGAAGATGAAGGCATGACACCTCCTGGAGGGTAAGAACAGTAAGAAGATGCACAAGGAGCTGCCAGTGAGCTCCATCAGCAAACAGTCCCCCTAATCCACTGGCAGCATAGCAGTAACGAAATACCTGCCCACAATGGCTAAAGCACATCATGACAGAAGGATGCACTGTGTCCAAAGACATGCCAAGCTTCAGAGGCAAACACCTGTCCAGATGAGCAAAATGTAATTGACCTATGTGCTTTTCCTCTTTTTATTGAAACTCCTCTTGACCTCAAGTTGCTGAACATTCCCATCATAAAAGCCATGTTCCATGTGGTAAGACAACCATTTCAGTGTTTGGGATCTTAAACAAATCCCTGCCTGCCTAACAAAGATCTATTTCACAACAACCATCCATAGGGCCATCATTTCTCAGCATTCAACCTTCCTAAGCCCTCCAAGACAACTACCACATTTGATCCCAAAGACATCTGCCAATCCACAGGAACAGTGCTTCTTGGGGGAGCAATTGCTGGCACTGCCTGTGACTCTCCAGCCACATTTCTCTGGAGTAGACGTCACTGCTGCTGAATGCACTTTCTGTCTAGAATACTGAGAAGAATAAAATTACATTCTGTAATTAGATCTATATTTGCCCTTAATACATAGCAATGGTGAAGAATCAAACATTCACTGACTGTCAAGTCTCAAAAGGTGTCTTTACATTCTTCAGCTTTAGGGCTCAGGGGTCTTTTTTTATTGAATCATCATCAATTCATATTTGATGAAACAGGCACAATGCTATGGGAATAGTAACTATTCCAATCCCTGAGAATGCCTTCCCTTCTTCATATTGTTTCTTATTTCATTAACTTAAAGGTATTTTGAGATTCAGATTTATGGAATTCCTTTTTAACTCAAGTCAAAGACTTGGTCTCTTTTTCTCTAAACTTTTTTAAAGAAAACATTGATTTAAAGTTGATGCGTATCAATCAGGTGGGAGTAAAAGGCTTTTGCAGTGAGACATGGATTTGAACCTCAGCTGTATCACTTACTAGTTACAGAAACTTGCATGAGTTTCTTTACTCTCTTAGCCTCAGTTTCCTTTCTGTAAAATGGTGCCAATAATGCTTACCTCTGTTGTTTGTTGAGGGCATTAAGTGAGGTGATTAAGACTATATGCTTAGCAGAGGGCCAGGCACATGGTAAATATTTAAAGATAAAAGGAGTTTAGAAAATTTCCGCCTTCTTCTGTATGTTCTAAGGAGAAGGAGGAGAATGGGGAGAGAATAAAAGGGGAGAAGTATCACAGCACAGTGCACTGTAATATTGTAAATCCCCTATGACATGTAACTACTATCTTAATGTTCTGTCTAATACAGTAACTCAGGCTAGATAAAAAGACCCAATGTATGTAGCCATCTTATAAAGTAAGTATAGGACTCCCACCGTATAATCAAGAGTCCAACGGGTTCCATTGTGTTTAACATTCAGACTCAAGGATAAAATCATTTCTTAAGAAACTTAAAGGAATTTTTAATATGTCACTTTACTCCCAGCTTCTAGTGTAAGGGCTAACCAATTTTCATATTTTTGTCTCTTTTCTACTCACTCTAGACATGCCCTGCTCCAGAATAGGATGTATTTATCCTATTTGTGTCACTTTCATCTGTGTTTGGGTGAAAATAATAATCCATTCATATGTTAATCTAGTCTTTTGGGCCATTTTTAATCAGTTTTTTTCATATAGCACCACAGAACGCTAACTTCAGGCAAGTCTTTAAGACTAAGCTAGAGCTGACTAGCAGATGACCAGTGATTAAAGTCAGCAGTCACTATTGAGACCAGAGCTTATTATTTGGACGTTAGAAATGTTTGTCATTAAAATGAAAAGCAGGGTTAGTCAGTTAATGAATCTGGCACAACAGCATCTGGAATGCAGGAAGGACAAAATACTGAATAAGTTCAGAAATCAAGGAGACATTATGAGCCAACAAGGTCATTGCCTACATGTTCCCTTTTCTCTCCATAAGATTTGAACTTCCTATAAATCCTGTCATTTAAGATGGCAGCCTGTTCCAGCTCTGGAAAGCTTGAATGCCTGTGAAATGCCAACATAAATGAAAATTTAATAGCTTTCCAACTGCAGCACCTGTGCAGATAAATTGTACCAGGCTTCAAACAAGTGGAAGAGCCTCAATATGTTATATATGGAGCAGCTGGTTCAGTCAAAGTTCATTTGCTGAATGGTTTCTGTAATCCCAGCTTGAGCTGGAAAGGAATCTCTATAAAAGTAGTTAACTCAGAGAGTCCATGCAAGAAGCACCTGTCATCTAAACAACTTTGTGGGAGATGCCTGCCTTCTCAGCTGTGGCAAATGATGAGAAAGACTGCCATCAGAAAGAGCAACAATGTTCGTCAACACGTGCTTTCCGAAGTGACACAGCAAGTCTCTTTTGCCACTAGCTCAGGTTGTTAACACCTGGCCCTAAATCAGAGTCATTTACCCAACATCCTCCCTGGAATAAAATGAACACTTGGTTATTCGTGATACTTTTTGGCCCTATCCAATCAAAAGCTACTTTAATAACCTGTTTATCTACTAAGAATATATATTCTGTCATTGTTTCTACTCTGCCAAGTCTGTAAGTATTCTTGTCAAAAAGAAGAATGAAGAAAGAAAGTCATGTTTGGGAGCAGAACGTTTGAAGCCCTGCAACAACCCAACAAACTGCATTACACTGTCTTACTCCCAGAATTATCCCACTGGGGGCAAATACATATTATAGGGATAGTATATTTTTGACATAAAATGTTTCCTTTGGAATATAAATCATTCTATTGTAAAGATACATGCACGCCTATGTTCATTGCAGCACTATTCACAATAGCAGAGACATGGAACCAGCCCAAATGCCCATCAATGATATAATAGATAAAGCAAATGTGGTACATATATACCATGGAATACTATGCAGCCATAAAAAGGAATAAGATCACGTCCTTTGCAGGGGCATCGATGGAGCTGGAAGCCATTATCCTCAGCAAACTAACACAGCTACAGAAAACCAAACACCACATGTTCTCATTTATAAGTGGGAGCTGAACAGCGAGAACACATGGACACAGGGAGGGGAACAACACACACTGGGGCCTGTTGGGAGGGTTGGGGAAGGGAGAGCATCAAGATAAAGAGGTAATGCATGCAGGGCATAATACCTAGGCAATGGGTTAATAGGTGCAGCAAACCACCATGGCACACATTTACTTATGTAACAAACCTGCACATCCTGTACATGTATTCTGGAACTTAAAATTTTTTAAAATGTATCCTCTGTTTGTATGCAATGGCCTAAACATGCCCTATCTTCTCATGTGATTATTAGTTATTAATATTCTTTAATTGAACTGGTTTATAAGATCTGTTCCTTTGTTGATTTATACCCACTAACTATCACTGACCCTAATCCCTACATTATATCAAGGACTCTCAGTAAAAGGAAAAGAATGATTGCACATACATAAACATATGTTTATACCTACCTTCCAAAACTAATAAAATCACATGCTTGAAAATCAATAAATGTACGAGACCCTTTTATGCTCCGTGTCCACCTGCTTTCACATTGTCTCAATTCTACTATTGACTTTGTCTTCCATTTCTAGATCCTTTTTCATCCTTTCAACTTATCTTTTGAGTGAGCAAACTAAATGGCTTTATTGAATACTCACCCCATGCCTTCCTCCACTACTGAAACCTTGTCATGCATTTCCAAGGTGAGCACCTTGCCTGAGCCACCCCTTAAATCCCCATGATAGGGAGAGGGGGTGGCTCAAAATTTCCCATGAGAATGAGATTAGATGCAAATAACCACCCAAACCTTCAGTCTACAGTAGATTGTTCAAAATTTTACTTTGAGGAAAAGGATTTCTTTAAATGATGGTCATGTAAAATGATCATCTATTGGGAATGTACTTTAGCATTTGTTAAGGAAAAGCAAATGACACTTGGTTTTTTACAAACCCTTTATAATCTACCTGATGGCTCAAAAACTATTAAGAAGATTATTATGGATGATTTTATAGCCAAAGACAGTGGCTTACAATTTCTGCCAGTACTGGTTCTGCCTTCATAGCCTAATGATTATTTCTACACATAGCTTTACATTTCAATTGTTTATCATTCCCAAGCCATCAGACATGGATTAGGAAAAAAGTCAAAGTAATAGGAAATTATATCTTAGTATTATTTTTAAACAATTAATAGTTCCCAGCTGAGTTAAATGAATTTTGTTTTACACCAAATTACAATAATGCAGCTCTAATCTGTAACTTCTGTGCTAGGCTCTACTTACTGGAAGTTTAGTTCATTTGATTCCTGGACTTCAGCACAGAAGACCTCAGTTCCACTTTTCATTTCTGCCACTGAGTTCCTGAGTAATCATGCCTGTGTCAACTGAAATTCCTTAGACTTTTTTTTTTTTAGGGGGAGATGTTTGTTTTTTCTTTCTTCATTTGTAAAATGGCAATAATCCAAATTCAATCTGCAAACAGCCACCCAAAGTCAGGGACCTCATTTTAGGATATATTTTCAAGCTATGTTTCTAGAAGCTCTAAAATTCTGCATAGTTCAACATGTTTCATACAAACAATTTCACTCAAATTTTTTATTTTAATATATTTTAACACTTTGGGAATATACCAGAAAATACTAACTCACATGTATTATAGACATTTGAACACATTTTGGTGAACATCCTTTCAAGGTATTGCCTTGTTAACCCATTCTTGTGTGCACATCTCAGTATAAAGCTTCTATAGGCCAGGCATGGTGGCTCACACCTGTAATCCCAACACTTTGGGAGGCTGAGGAGGGCAGATTGCTTGATTTGAGCTCAGGAGTTCAAGACCAGCCTGACCAATATGGTGAAACCCATCTCTACTAAAAATACAAAAATTAGCCAGGCATGGTAGCAGGCACCTGTAGTCCCAGCTACTCAGGAGGCTGGTGCACAAGAATCGTTTGAACCCAAGAGGTGGAGGTAGTAGTGAGCCTAGATCATGCCACTGTACTCTAGCCTGGAGGACAGGATGAGACTCCATCTCAAAAAAAAAAAAGCTTCTGTAAAAATCTGTATGTATAGATGACCTTCTGTTAAGTATTTCTTAGTAAAAATATAGATTAGCCCTGGTCTTTTTCTTTTTTCAAAGTCAGTGCCTGATTTACTTTCATTCTTCAGATGTACAAGCAAGTCCCCACATATGTGAATGGCTTTATTGAGGCCTATACGCTAGGCCAGCCCATAGTGGGCATGCGCAACACCTGGCCATTATTACATAATCTGTGGCAGTGTAGCAAGATGATGCTAGTGGTGAAGTAAAAAAAACAATGTGACTAAGTTACTACAAGGGTTGGTTAATGGGATTTTGCAATCATGTTAGGGAATCATGCTGGAGTTTCAGGGTGACAAATTTGAATTATAAAGGGTTAGAAGAGGCCCTATTCTGGGTTTTTTGCAACCAGATAGAATTGTGTACAGGGAGAACCAAGGAGAATAGAGAATCCATGATCCTTGAATATCCCCCAGCCTGATCTGATACCTGTTGGTATGATTTGCTAAGTGCACATCCTTTGAGCATATCACAGTAAACTGTATTTCTATAAGATTTATATGATAACTCATTTTTCCCATATCAGTAACCCAGTCATGCAATAACATGACCCTCCCATGTTTACACCAAATGATATTCAGACTCATCTGCTTGGAACATAGTCTTATCATGTAATAGTCAATTTTTCAATAAGAATTTAATTTCTAGCAGGTCATGTCTCAGTTTTGTTGAATTATAAATTTTAGTACGTATTACAAGTTTTATGTGCTACCTGTCTGACTTTGATGTTTACAATAAGAAATACAAGCAGCAGTTAGATATTGTTGGTGATTAAATTTTGAAATGAAAATTTCTTACCATCTCTTTCATGTTTCTGGATAAATAATGAATGCAGTGAGAGTATATAGCAGGCTGTTACCATTTTCAGCTACCTTTCTGTTGAATCAGTGTTTTCATATATAATTATGTTTTGGAGTTCTACAGAATATTATATCTGAAAAAATTATTCAATTGCTGGGAAAATAAGAGTTTGAAAACTGCTATTTTGAAGGTACAACCACTGATATCATTTGCAAACCATCCTGATAGGCAAACACAAAACACTGAATGTATGGTCCCAGGTGTATTTGGAAGGCAGAATCATCCTGTGAGTAGGCAACACTAGTGAGAGACTTTTTACCTCTTGCCAACCTGACACACAGATGGAACAGCTCCCCAGAATCAAATGTGCAGTCAATGCATGAAACTAGAAAAGTAAACCTGGGAAGACATGAAACCTCAGAAAGAATGAAAAATAGGTGTCATGATGATAATATGTTATCAACATGTACTATAAATGTGGGGTGCTTCTGGCCTCGCTTTTATATTTACGATAAGGAAGCAGTTGTAAGATACTGATCTGTGATTATATATGGTTTCCAGCTGAGCCCTTAACCGTCCTGTCCCCTTCAGTCCCTTCCTATTGGTCTCTATTCATTTGCCTCCTAGAGATGGGCTCCAAATTCAAAATCAAGCTACTCCAATAAGTTATGCAGGTATAACCTTCTAATTAAAGTTGTATTGAGAATATAATCTGCTTTTTACTAAGAAAGAACTTATACTTTGCTTCCATTTTCACTCCTTTTATTCCTCAAATAAGAGAACAAAGTGAGAAATGTAGAGTCGCACTTTTTACTTTGCTTTTTAAATAATAAAGTAGTAAAAGAATATGAACTGACAGTCAATTCCCCTCCCATATCCATTCTTCTAAACTTTGTTAATAGCTGTCAATTTAATCTAGTGTTCCTAAGTTACCGATCACTACTGTGTGCAGACAATTGAATTCAGCAAGACTCCATGACTGTAGATGATATTGGAATTAAATGACATTGGACCTGTTTATCTTAGATTATTTACCCCTTAGCATTTCACATAAGTGATGCCTACTGTATTAGTCCATTTTTACACTGCTGGAAAGAACTACCCAAGGCTGGTAATTTATAAAGGAAGGAGGTTTAATTGACTCTCAGTTCCACGTGGCTGGGGAAGCCTCAGGAAACTTACACAATCATGGTGGGGAAATGGGAAGCAAAGGCACATCTTCCCACGGTGGCAGGAGAGAGAGGGAGCAGGGGAAATGGCCACTTTTAAAACCATCAGATCTCATGAGAACTCACTCACTATCATAGGACAGCATGGGGGAAACTATCCCTAGGATCCCATCACTTCCTACCAGGGCTCTCCCTTGACATGTGAAGATTATAATTTTGAGATGAGATTTGAGTGGGGACACAGAGCCAAACCATATCACCTACTCTTATATGCTTAAAGTGAATGCATTTAATTATAAATTTAATAGAGCCATTATGCTTTTTATATCACCTTTACACTGTATAATTATTTAAACAATACTGTAAGTAAATAACGTGTATAGGGAAATGTAAGTTAACCATAAAGGTAACTAGCAAGATCACCAGTGCTTGCTTTGAGGTAACTAGCAAGATCACCAGTGCTTGCTTTGAGGTAACTAGCAAGATCACCAGTGCTTGCTTTGAGCCAGCCATCCAGGTAGTGAAATGTGACCCTCACCATGGTAAATACATGGCTTGCTGTCTGTCATACCATGGTGACATGGTTCCCAAAGATGTCAATGCTGCCATTGCCACCATCAAGACCAAGTGTACTATCCAGTTTGTGGATTAGTGCCCCACTGGCTTCAGGGTTGGTATTAACTACCAACCTCCCACTGTGGTGCCTAGTGGAGACCTAGCCAAAGTACAGAAAGTTGTGTGCATGTTGAACAACACCACAGCTGTCGCTGAGGCCTGGGCTCACCTGGACCAAAACTTTGACCTGATGTATGCAAAGCATGCCTTTGTTCACTGGTACGTGGGTGAGGGGATGGAGGAAGAAGAGTTTTCTGGAGCCCCTGAGGACATGGCTGCCCTTGAAAAGGATTATGAGGAGGTTGGAGCAGATAGTGCTGAGGGAAAGGATGAGAGTGAAGAGTATTAACCTGTGTGCTATACTTTTATACTCCATTGTCTTGGGACTGTCTCATTTTTGTTCTGTGAAAATGTCCATTATATCCCTAAATTGTCAATAAAAGTAATAATTCCATTTTAAGTGTCAAAAAAAACCTCACTAAGCATCCTAGTTCAAGTAGTTAAATGTGAGAAATGGGGTAGGGGGAATCCAACAGGGGAGTAAGATGGTGAGAAAGAGAAGAGAAAAAAAAATCATTAAAGGGTCTGTTATTCACTGGGTAATATTATAGGCAACCGGAGCTAATCCGCAGAGAAACTCTGGGAATCAGAAAATTCCACGTGAAGGAGAAGGGTGCTAGGGCACTTGCGTATCCCTCCCATCAATCCCTGGCTGAGGGCTGTTCCTGGAGGGTTCTTAGCTCCCATCCCTTCCTCCCTGCCATCTACACAGACAGAGCAGACGTCAATAGCTTATGGAAGCTCTTGGGCTGGAAGATGGCAGACACCATCTGCCAGTTGGAAGTCTGCCAGAGTGCACCAAAGAGGTAAGGTCTAAGAGATACTGGAGGGACACTGAAAGAATTGCCAATAAAAGACAAATGCCAAGTGTAAATTCAGAGGGGTTCACAAGTCATCTAAGCAACTGAGCAAAGATAATAAGTCTCTTTTGACAAAAGCCTAAGATGAATTACTCTCTATGATTTTAATAATAATTGCTGGTTACCATTTATTAAGCAGCTCCTATGTGCCAGGTATTGCTCTGAGCAACCAATATCCATGATCTCATTTAAAATTCATAGCAACCCTATTATGATCATCACCAATTTACAAATGAGGAAGTTAGGGTTAGAGGGATTAAGAAATTTCCTGAAGTAACAAACCAGAGTAAGTTCTCTTTCTGCCTCCCATTGCTTTCTTAGGTCCTCAGATTGAGAGAGAAATATTTTCCTTAGAATGAGTATACACTAAGCTCTAGAAATTGTATCTAAAGAATGTGACCATCCACAACCTTCAGAGAAAGACCTGTGTCTTCACATCTTTGAAATGCCAGCCTGTGTACCAAAAATGAAGAAATTTCCCACCCTGGTGGCCCTGCCGGAAGGGTAGACTTTTATGAGAAGTCTCTCATTTCACACACTGTACCTGCTTCTTTCAAGTTAGCACTTTTTCTTTTTTCTTTTTTTTTTTTTTTTTTTTTTTGAGACAGAGTCTGACTGTCTCACCCAGGCTGGAGTGCACTGGTGCGATTTCAGCTCTCTGCAACCTCCACCTCTCGAGTTCAAGCGATTCTCCTGCCTCAGCCTCCCAAGTAGCTGGGATAACAGGCGTGTGCCACTACGCCCAGCTAATTTTTATTGTATTGTTAGTAGAGATGGGGTTTCACCATGTTGACCAGGCTGGTGTTGAACTCCCGACCTCAAGTGATCTGCCCACCTCAGCCTCCCAAAGTGCTGGGATTACAGGCATGAGCCACCACGCCCAGCCAAGTTTAACATTTTTAAAGAGCTGCAAGCTCCATTAATTACAAGACCATCTCTGCATCTGTTTCCTTTCCCATCTGACTTCCATTCACACTGCCTGGTCATTGATGGTGAAGTTTATTTTTTGTAGCATCCTTCCAATCTGACTTTTCTTTTACCTCTTCACATTCTGGCAATTTTATTCTAAAATCTCCAGTTAGAACTTTAAAATAGATTTTTAAAGAACATCTGGATGTTAGAACTTCAAAGACCTAATGTGTAACCATCTTCTGTAATAAACCTAAATTCAAATCCATTTTAAGTAGCATTTTGGGCAAAATAATATTTCATACTCACATGCATTTGTTCTCTTTTACTCCTGATTCTCCAAATCTTTCTTAAAACTTTCAAACTTTAAGTCCTTTTATGCTATCATACCCAATTTTCAATTATTTGTATCAAAGGAAAAGGATATCATAGGGGAAAACCCTTCTATATTATTTTACCAGTCTAATTTCTAGACAAAAGCTTTGAAGTGGTAACAGAAGAAATGTATGTCCAAATAAGCCATAAGCTAGGAACACAGACCAACAATTAGCAATGAAGGTCAAATCCGAGTACAACAAAAGCCATGGAGAATACTGATATCCTTTGTTGGAGTGACATTTCACAGACATTGGTACCTTGTTAAAGATTACATTTCCAAGATCAAAATGGACAACGATGAAACATGCTCAGGAATAGAAAGCAAGAGGGTTTTACTAACAGTAGCCCTCTAGAATTTATAAATGGTACTGAATGACTGACAGGAAGATAAGTAGCATATTACCGTTCAGGGAATTCTGTTACTTTCAAACCACGTGGGGTAGCAGGGAGGCAGTGGGGGTGTCTGCCACGATTAGTCTTCCTTCTTACACCTTGGTTGTGAAACACAATTCAGTGTTAATCTAAATGTAGACATAGGTGTGTGTGCACGTACACACACACACACACACACACGTACGCATACATATGGAGAAAGGGAAACCTTTCATACAGTCTGTGCTTGACAGAACTGAAGGTCTTTTATCAATGTGACTGGAGGCTTCCTTTACACCCTGGAATTCATTCCACAGGAATATTTTACCTTCCTCAAAAGTGAAGCTAAAGAGTCTTCCAGGAGTGGCTTCCTCCCCTGAGGTAGGCCTAAGTTTTCTTCTCTTAAAATAAAAACAAGGTAAATATTTTAGAAAGCCAAGAGACTTAGACCAGTCTATACACTAAAATGCATTGAAATTCATTCATATGCAGAATTCATTTCTTATTTAACATTACTTCTGAACTGTTTGAGTAGATCTGGATCACACACACACACACACACACACACACACACACACACAGCCTTTGGTGGAGAAGAGAGGTATTAAATAAGTGATGTATTCAGCAACTAGTTTTAAGAGGAGAGATGTTTTCTGGCTTTTTGATAACTTCTTCTGAAGCAAAAAATGGTTACCTGTGGTGAGGTCCAATCAAAACTCCATTGCCTCCTTTGAGGTGAGCCCACAAGGTCTGTCCTGCTCTGTTCTAGGGGAGCAGCACTGCATGCTGAGCTGGTGCAGATTTGGACCAGAGAGATTTCTTACAAGAAATTTACAACTACTCCACATTCGCCACTGCTTACAACGTGTGGCATACATTGCCTCAGGCGGTGCAACTCATTTTATCATCACGATCATTAATTTAATCTTTTTCTCATAACAAAGAAAGAAGCTATTGAATGTGTAGGAAGGGCCCATAAAAAGGAATATGATCAAAGGTCACTAAAATACCCTTTCATCCTCACAAGCTTGTGGGGGATAGAAAGAAAAGAAGGTAAAGAGGACCAGGAGTCATAAAGCTAGAAATTCTGCAAGTGTCTTGGCCCTTACTGTTATATACTTCTAGGTCCCTGCCCCAGAATTCCTTAAATTTCATTTTTTTCCATCAGTTGTTATTTTCACTTGGCTACTGTTGGGAAAAAGCCGAGTGTTGGGAAAAAAGCTGAGGCAGGACTTGTGGGTCTGACATAATGCCCAGGACTTGGGGCATAAAACCCCTCGTGGCCCCTGGACTCGTTAGTCCAGACTTGCAGGCTCCTTGCTTCTAGCTTAAACTAGAAGAACATGCTCCCCATCATCTCAAGTAGCAGAATATGTTCCACATGCTTCAAAGGAAATGCTAAACCATCACAACTGTAGATCATGTGCTTGCCCTTTCGACCCCCACATTCTCATCACCTGTTTCTTTGTTTGATCACCAATAAATAGTCTGGGCTTCCAGAGCTCGGGGCCTTCACAGCCTCCATTCTCGCTTTGGCCACCTGGACCCACTTGCTCTCTCAAACTGTCTTTCCTCATTCCTTTGACTCTGCCAGACTTTGTCACCCCCAAGACCTGGTGTTGGGACCCGATCACCCTAACAGGCTACTACATGTACCAGACCCTTTTTCATTTTTCTTTTTTTTTTTTTTTTTTTTTGAGATAGAGTCTCACTCTGTCACCCAGGCTGGAGTGCAATGATGCAATCTCAGCTCACTGCAACCTCTGTCTCCCAGGTTCAAGCAATTCTCCTGCCTCAGCCTCCCAAGTAACTGGAATTACAGGTGCCCACCACCATGCCTGGCTAACTTTTGTATTTTTAGTAGAGACAGGGTTTCACCATGTTGGCCAGGCTGGTCTCAAACTCCTGACCTCCTGATCCACCTGCCTCAGCCTCCCAAAGTGATGGAATTACAGGCATGAGCCACTGCACCCAGCCACCAGACCCTTTTTCTACAGTGATGGCCCTTTTGGATCCTAAGGTAATTTAGAATAATACAAAGAAAGATCTGCCTTGCAGAATCAGGAAATTTACTGAGCATGTTACTCTTAGTGGAATCAATGTGGTGGTGTAGCCTCCTGTAAGAAACCGAAAAACAAAAAACAAAACTCACTGCCCCCTACCCTCCACCTTAGCTCCAGCGACCTACCTAGTCCCATATGGGACACTGGTCCACACACAGAAGAATTCGAGCTTACTCCATGTTGGCTGATGCTCAGTTAAATCCACTCCATACCCAGGTACCTTAGTGACTTCTCTAAAACACACATCTGATGATGTCCCTTTTCTGCTTATTAGCCCACAGAACAAGTCCAAGCTTGTTAACACAGTCAACAGAGCTCTGTCTTTCTTCCCAGCCACTCTCTCCCTTGGATTTTATGCCCAGCCATACTGAAGAATGTGCACATTGTCTTCATCTTAGAGATTCTGTACAGACTTTCCCTCTGTCCAAAACTTTTCCATTTCTCCATCTTTGCCTGAGAAAGTCCTTGAAAATTCTTAGTCACCCTGCAGAACTCCAATGTCACTTCCGCTGAGAGCCTTTCCTGGGTCCCCCATTCCCTACCCTAACAACTAGACTTAATTAGCTGACGCTCCTGTTTGCCTCCACAGTTTACACTTACCTCTTCTATCTCCTATATTGTCATTGCCTATTTATCAGTCTCTCTGACTGAACTATAAGCTCCTTAAAGCCTAATAATTCGTTTTCTTCACTGTTGTATCTCAAAACCCAGAATACTACCTAACACATGACAGTTACTCAGTAAATACCTAGGAACAGATGAATGAATGACAAGCTGGCCAATCCCTAATGCTATTCCTCACTCCCTGGCCTGCAACCCAAATCACAGACCACTACCATCCCTCTTCATGTGCCATTTGTGAATTTCCAGCAACATTCTTCCCATTCCACACATCCCTATTTCACATTGTTCCCAGAACTCCTCAAGCAACTTGTGACTATTCAAAAACCAGTTTTTACCTTCCCTTAGCTGCCTCTACTATGGTCCAAAATATCCCTAATAATTTGCTCTCCTTGGCTCCTGTAATACCAGTGTTACATAAATATCGGCTATTTGTGCCATGAAAGGGAACAAAACAGATGAAAATTCTTTTGCACTGTACAGGGAGCAGCACCACATCTTCAGGGTCTGGGCAGTGCCATTGTCAGCCCAGAAAATTCATGTCTTTTCTATAGCCTCAGCCCTTCTTTTTCTCAGAAAGTGAGAGAGTCCAAAGAGTATATCAGAGAATTTCCTGGACCTCCAGAGTTGTAAACAAACTCCGTCTTTGAAATACCATCTAGACAGAACCAAATATAAGAGCCTACATGTGATGAAGCCAAGATCTCCTCTGTGATTTCCCTTCTGGAAACTGTGTAGTTCATTGTTGTTTCCACAGGCCATAAAAGGTGATCTTCAAACTCAAGTCTGTACCTGGTCCCATCTTGAAACTTGGGTATGTACCTGATCCTTATAAACATCTAAGTTTGCATCTGTCTGTGCACTCTGACCCACTAGAGCCTGATCATGCATCTAGATGTATAACAGGACTTTTTCTGTCTATCTGGGAACCTGGAATCTTTCACATCAATCCCATTAAATCTCCCAAGACAGAAAAACCACATAGGCATCAAAGCTGTGTTCATCCAGTTTCACAAGCCTCATCATCTCTTGTTGGCCACATGCAGCTATTTTTAGGAAGATTCCATTTTGAACTGGAAACAAAGTCATGAGGGTGAGAGTCACTTTGAGGGTCCCCCTTAGATGTGGGCTTCCAGACTTACTAGAAAGCTCGTAAGAGGAAGGTCAGGAAAGGTCACCTTAACTCAGGGAAGCACAAGGAAGTACTTGCAGTCAAGATTTCACATTGTTCCCCGAACTCCTCAAGCAACTTGTGACTATTTGTACCTTCCCTTAGCTGCCTCTGCTGTGGTCCATCAGTAGGTTGCCAGATTTGACCAATAAAAATATGATACCCAGTTAAATTTGAATTTCAGATAAACAACAGATAATTATTTTAATATAAGTATATCCTTTGTAATACTTAGGCATACTTAGACTAAAAATGGACTCACTATTTTTTTGACCCTCAAATTTAACTAAACAGCCTGTATTTTATGTGTCAACCCTACTCATTGGAAATGGTGGAGGCTCACCAGGATCAGTAATAAGGACCCCAAAGATGCCCCAAATAATCCTTGTCTTTTATTTATAGACTCTGAATTAGTAAGCATGAGCTTTTCATTCCAATTAACAGGCTGTAATGAATATCTTCAGTTTTAGGGCTTTATATACTTATCATTATCACAATCTTTCTTATTTTAAAGAGATGGTTATTTTTTCCAACCTTAATATCTCATCAAAAAGTATTCAAAAGTTCACTAGACAAATGAAAAACATGTATCTGAAAAATGAAGGCAAAACCCCTGGTGTTTAGCAAAAAAACAAAAACTACCAGGAAGGCGGAAGAAAACTAACTTAATAAGCAAATCTCTCCAGGGATATTTCCATAGTTTGATGTTCTCCCACACTCTGAAAATATTATTGCATCAAGAATGTAGAACTGCTAACCAAATTTAAGGCGTCCTTACGATTCTATCAAATTGAGGATACTACTATATCAACAAATGGGCCGAGTAGCTGACCCAGGGACCATGGCAGTTGGTGGAGCATATCCAAAGGCCTGAAATGGAACCAGGCAAGCTACTTCTGTGCATTTCCACCTGGGCCCCAGTAATACTAAGCTCCTAGTACTTGCCAACTTTAAGTACTTTTCTATGTATCTCCATTTTTCCCTGATTATTTGGACTACATCCTAGACTTGACATTACGTGAACTGCATACAAGAAGCTATTTTCTATAAAAGGGGAGGGGGGGTAGTGGGAACCCTGAATCTGTAGCTGTTTTCCTTCATCCAGCTACATGGAGTTTTATAAAATAAAGGGTCAGCTTAGTTAACCTCTTCCATATAACAGTACCATGCTTGTCTTAAGAGATGTAAAAATCTAACATGATTTTTAACAGTTTTTGTGGCAAAACCATCGTCTCCCAGATGGCGGCAATAGAGCAAAGTAATTAAAGGCATGGATTTTGACTTGCTCTTATGTCTTGGAGGAGTCACTTGACATCTGTGTATTGTCTGTACTTATCTGCACTTATCTGTCACATGGGGTCAATAATTATACCTATTTTATAAGGATGTGAAAATTACATGTGATAATATGTAATATTATCAAATATAAAGTATATATAATATATATAGTATATATAAAGTAGCTAGAGGAGTGCCTGACACACAGTAAGCACTCGGCAGATATTAACTATTAGCTATTGGAATTATTTCTCCATGAAAAGGACTATATTATCAGTGGATGACTCAGTGAGAGACAGTGAATCACAGAATCACAGCATTTTGGAGGTGACCTAGTTCATACTCTATGTGAAAAAAGAAAATTATATGTGTGCATAGGAAAATGTCTGAAAGTTAGCATAGTAAATGGTTAATGAGGTCAACTTTGAGGACTAAAATAAATTGGGGAAGGAGTATGGAAAAAAGTTAAATTTTACTCAATTTTTAAATCGTTTGAGTTTTTACAGTGAGACTTTCAATATATTGGTTGTGTGATTTTTTTAAAATGTGGCAGGATAAATGTTTTGAAGTTTTCCTGGTATGTCTGTGTTTTTTTTTTTTCTTTTTTTTGGAATGGCTGGTATTTCTTTCATCTTTGGATAGAAAGAAATACCCCACTGAGTTAGCAGGCTGCAGGAAAGAGATGACAGAACAAAAATGAATGGAGAGAAAGGAGTCTAGGAAATGGGAAAAACTCACAATGACAGTATTTTGGAGAAAGGATATGATGAGGGAAAATGAGCAAATGTCCTACCTTTATGAAGATAGGGACTCCCTGGGCTGAGGATGGAGGAAGGTCAGAGGTGGCTGAACAAGGGAGCCAGGCAGAAAAGGACACACAAATAAGTGCAGAGCAAGCATCCTGAGACACTCTGCTTGCCCCCATGCAAGCATGCATTTCCAGCAGCCAGCACTTCACCCGTGACTCCCCAGCAAGAATGACACTCAGGGGTGTCCCATCCAACTTATTCTGGATCCACTATGTCAGGACACTTATAAGCCCAGAGTTGTGGATGGCTCCAACACCTATAGGGGTGATAATGGTATAAAGGGGGATCGCCTGAACCCAAACTTCATGGGAAGAAACAGAACAACCTCAGAACTCCCCCAGGCCAGAGGTTTTCTGCACATGATTTCTGTCTGAAATCATGTGCCTTATCTGGAACAGGTGCACCTCACTGATCTTAGAATTTTTTCTTAGTAGCTGATGTGACTACAGTGTACAGTAACCTCATGACTACAGTGTACAGTAACCTCATGACTACACTGTACAGTAACCTCAGGCATGAACAAACTCTTCCTCCACCTTTTGTATGCTTCAGACTAGTGTGGTCCGGTCTCAGATGAATTCAAGTCTGCAGAAAAAGAACAAAGTTCCCAGATGGTTCCAGGAGTTGTGCCCACATTTCCTTAGACCACTAAGGTGCTCATCCTAAGATGAAAATAGCATCTGCCTCCTAGAGTCATTCTTCAGACTGATTGCATGAGTCAAACAAAGCTTAGAAGAGTGCTTGGCTCATGATCAGTTCTCAGTAATATCTAGCTAAATTTATTATTATATGTCCCTCCTTATCAGAGAGGTTTGAAGATCAAACTCCCATGACCTCTAAAAAAAGATAAACTAGTTTACCTATTGACAGTGATTTTAGCCCTAGGTTTAATGAGCCATCAAAACTACTATTGAAAAATAGGGGACTTTACAGTTTTGAAGAAGAAGTAGAATGCCTTGGAGAGGAAGAGCTTGGCCAAGAGACTTGGACAAATATTCCCCAGGAATGAGAAGAGAAGGGTCTGGGGACCCAGAAGCATGATCATCAAATTATAAATTCCCTGCAGTGGCATTTTAGGGGAACACTGGAAAGGGACAATAAATGCTCATAAGACTAGAATAACAAGTAGAAAGTGGTTTCAGGAGAAGATCACTCTTGTAGAGTGTGTATCAACAGCAGAGAAGCTGGCAAAAGGACAAGCATGAGCAAGGAATGAAATAAAGGGGGTACCTGGTTCCTTCACTGAGTGAACCCAGCCCCATGGCCAGCAGGCCTCCAGGAAACACTTGCAGCCCTGGAGCTATCGATCATTCATCAACTTTTGAGAAAATACACCCAGCTCTGAGATTATCTCTTCAACACCATCTTTCCTTCTTGAGTTTAGTTTGACCTCCTCCCTCACCTTCAAGCTATGGACTAATGCTGCCTAGCAAGAAGAGTCATTCGTGTCCCTGGTCCTCTAGCTATCATGATTCACATTAGTGAAGTACAAAAGGCAGTGACCAAATAATGAGAAACAAGAGTGTATGAATAAGAAGAGATACGCATAAAGCAGCAGATTTTTGTGACAATATGGTCCATGTCAGCTGTATGTGTCTGGCACCACCTTAATTACTAGCATTCCTGGGAAAGAAGTTCTCAGAAGGCAGAGCCAGGCCATCTGGTTGCACAGTGCCCTCACACTCCACTCAGAGATCTCAATAACAGCTTCAGCCCCCAAGATCACTCCCTTGGTCTGCTCATGGTTTTCGGATTCTCCTTTTCTCCACATTTGTTTTGAGGAGAGGCAGAAGGATGGAGGCGCAGGCCAGCCCAGATTCTCCCGAGGGCCCAACAGGATGCCTAAAATTAACCTGTTACCTTCTGGGCAGTGGCTTAGATCTCCCCATGTGGGTGAATTTTCCTTTCATCTGTGCTTCAAATTCCTGACAACTGTCATCCATGCTTGAAGTGTCTGACTGGAGGAAGCCTATGGAAGGGGGCTAAAGGCAAGCAGCAATCCTTCAAACAGCCTGACACTTTCTGAGTCTCAGGAGAAGTCTACACAGTGTTCTATTAAATCCTGTGTGTTCCAGAGAAGTAATGGAAACAATTCAATTGTTCGATAATATTTTAATGGAAAATAAATTAGTCTACATGCATATGATGGAACAGTATCAAATTGTTAAATGGGTCTTGATCCATGATTGACATGGATAAATCTTGAAAACATGTTGATTGAAATAAAATATGTTTCATAATGTTATAACAATCATGTAAATAGTCACATGAATTCTAAATATTGCTATGGATATATACATGCAAGAAAATAATTAAAACATGGACTGGATATATGCAGATCTTTTATATTAGTTACCTCTGTGTGGGGGTGGGGGGGGGTAGTCCTAAAAATGTATGAAAAACAGTTATCATGAGTTTTAAAAGTATATAAGATGCACTATAATGAGCTAAATTTCTTCATGGAATACATTATTTACATTTGATATCATCATTTATCTAGGAAATCCAAAATAATCCACAGGTAAAATAGTAAAAACTAATAATATAGTTCACCAAGGCAGATGGTTACCAGATCAAAAATTTAAAAATCAATCAAGTCCCTCTACAATAGAAATAGCAAATTAGAAAATGTAAGAGAAAATACAATGCTATTTAAAATAGTACCAAGGGCTATATAAAGTATTTAGAGCTAAAAATGTATGTAACATAACGTATAACTAAAAAGCTGTGTATGATTAAATTCTGCCCAATTCAAGGTTAAACACAACAATAAATGTTAACTATTATGATGCTCATGCTTCATGAGAAAACACTCTCTTCTCAAATAGCAGACAATTAAATGAGGGGGATTCAAAGACACACAGCATTCTAAATGTGAGCTAGCCCAAACCTTTTGATAACACATAAAGCCGAGGCCAGAGAAGTTAAGTTCTTTGATCAAGGGCCCAATGTCCTGACTGCAAGACTAGCATTTTTCAGTAATTCACAAGACACAGTCAAAATTAGTACCCTGGAGGGAGAAAGTAATTATATGAATCATGTAATTACTCAAACTTAAGTGAAGAAATAGCTAACAAAATTCTAGATATTGAGAGAGAATTGAAGTGCAGAGTTTAAAATTTTACTAATCCGTAGGGAAACTGCAGACCATTTAAAGTATTTTATTAGACAATGGTGATAACCATTGAATACTTAGGAGAAATGCAATCTGGTTAACAAAGTCGAGAGACAACTGCAGGAGAAAGGAACACCTTTCTCAAAATGGCCATCAATTAGGGGATAGTTAATTATATTATGATTTCTCACTGGAAGTAAATAAATTACACTTGCTTAAAAAAATGGGATGAATCTATATTAAAGATCCATGTTAAATATCTATATTAAAGGCATTAAAAGATCTTCAACAAAAATGTTGATTTAGATTACACATAGTATGATACAATTTATGAATCAAAAATCTCTATAAAGCTACATATATCATATAAAACAGCTATGTATGTAAATACATGGACCTAAGATCTTGAAACTAAACAACTAACAAAATCTCTGCAAAAGGAAGTAGGCTTGGGAGGAGAGTAGGGATAATTTGAAGGAGACTTTAATTTTATTTTTATACGTTGATTACTTTAATATCATTTGCATTTTTATGATGACAATATTTCTATATTGCTCCTAAAATTTAAAAATATGTAGCTGGATGCTACTTTGAAAAATTAACTGAAATATTTTTTATCACTTCTCTTTGCTGCTGGATTTTTCCCCATCCAGTCAGCTAAGCACTTCAAGTTCATTGCATTAGGAAGATAAAGACCCAGCAGAAACAAAGGAGAAAAAAAGGAAAATTCTTGGCTATGGAATGTCAAAAGCAGAAACCACAGGAGAACAGAAAAGACTTCTGTGAACAAACAATAAATCTCACCTCAATTGTAGAAAGATTTCCCTGTACTAGAAGGTCAGAGAGAGGGAGAAAAGTGTTGAGGGAGAAAGGTTAGCATGGCCAGGGACAAGGAAAACTACTTTAAAGACTATACATACAAGAAGAGAATCAGTATCTACAGACTAGCCAGCCTGCACTTGACCTGTACTCCAGCCACCACTCCCAATCACAGACACTTGGAGAAACCTAGAGAACTCTGCCTGCAGCTCGTTTGGAACCCATTCCATTAAGCATTTTATGCCTGCAGAACAAGCAAGAACTATATTAGACCCTTCTGTTGAACTCTCCATCTTTTAGAAACCTAAATCCTCCACATACTTCAGCAAAAAGGAGAAGAGAGAAGACTTAGATCATGTGGAAGATTTGGGGGGTCGGGGGGGCATGCCTGGAAGTGTGGCATTTATCTCTTCTACCATATACTATCAGAAAGTTCTGCCACATGGCCCCACCTAACTGTAACAGAGGATAGGAAATATACTTTATGTAAATGCTCAGGAGGAAAAGAAATACAGATTTTATGAGCACATAGCAGTGTGACAGCCACAGATGGCATATCAGTATGGTGTGCCCAACTAAAAGCATCTTCAACAGTAATGACATTACTGTTTCATAAAGTTCAGATTTGAGAGGTAGGTGACTCAATGACTATGGGTCCCAGAGTTGGATTTTCTGTAATTCTTTTGGCTATCCCCTCATGTTTAAAAGACAGTTGTCATACCTGTAGGCATTACACCTTCCAACATCTACCTTCAAAAACAAGAAGGAGGGGGTCAGGGTTTTTCACCGTGAGCCACTCCCCTTTTATCAAAGAGGAAAATCTCTGCCAGAAGTTCCCCAGCCAACTTCCCCTTACTACTTATTTGGTAAAATCAATCACTAAAAAAGTGGAATGAAGCAATATGACCAGCTTCAGTAAATCAAGATTCATCTCCTGAGGCTGTGCCCAGTAAAGCTCAAAACCTGAACAAAATCAGAATTCAGCTAGCAGGAAGCAGAGAGTGATATTAGGACATGATCTACCATAGATGGTAAGTGAAAAACACAGATGGAGATGTAGAAATCATTCCAAACCTCTCAGTCTTTGAAATAAGTATAATCAGCTAAACTCACCTACTAAAAAGCAGATTGAATATTGTAAATACAGCAAAACAGTTCTTAGACAAAAAGCATATTAAAGCAGACTAAATGGAATTTAAAGCAAGAAAGGAATTAATAGAGAAAAAGTGGGGGGAAATATTTGACAATAAGAAAACCCACCAAAAAAAGTACAAAACATTAATTTTCACATGACTTGTAATATAATTTCAAAATATATTAGCTAAATCTGTACAAATATAAGGAGAAATTGACAAGTTCACAATCATTGTAAAATACTTCAGGCTACCAGAAACTGGAAGATCAGACTTAAAAATAGAAAGGATAAAAAATATTTGAATAAAATAAAGGAGACTGATTAACAGATATGCATATGAACTTGAATCCAATAGAGAATACACATTCTTTTCAAGTACATATGAAACACTTTTTAAATTGATTATGCACCAGGTTACAATAAAACTTTGGCAACTTTAAAATGTATTCCTATGTGATCACAGATTAAAAAGAATATCAGAATAGAAATTATAAAACATTTAGAAATAAATAACAATGAAAGTATAACACAAAACTTGTGGAATACTACTAAAATGGCATTTCAGAAAATTTGCATAGCTTCATATGCATTTATTTAAAAATAAGAATGATTAAAAATCAGTAAGTTAATTGTTCAATAGATGCTGGAAAAAGAAAACATTGAGTAAACCTATAAAAGAAGGAAAGAAATAATAAAGGTATGATTAGAAAATCAAAAAAAGGAAATAATACAAAATATCAACACTACTAAAAGATTTCATTTTCAATTATTAAAATAACAAATCTCTGGCAACACTAATCAGTTGAACTAGGTGAGTAAATGTGCAAATAAAAAATTAGAAAAAAATGCAAACATAATTACAATAGAAGATTTTTAAATCACAGACTACCATGATAAAACTATGAACTACTTTGTGTTATTAAATGTAATTTGTAAAAAATATAAATTTGTTTCCGGAAAAACTGAAAACTTTAAACAACAAATTGAAATAATAAGAAAAATTATTCTCAACCCTCTCTCTATCCAAGAAAAGAAAAATCCTACGTAAGGCTTTTAAAGAAAAACTTTACCTAAACTTCAAGCATTAAATGGGAGGGGAGGGGCCAAGATGGCCAACTACAAACAGCTGCAAGTCGGTGGCTCCCACCAAAAAGAATCAACACAGCGTGTGAATCCTGCACTGACTGGATAAAGAAAATGTGGTACATACACACCATAGGATACTATGCAGCCATAAAAAGGAACAAGATCATGTCCTTTTCAGGGACATGGATGGAGCTGGAAGCCATTATTCCCAGCAAACTAACACGGGAACAGAAAACCAAACACTGTATGTTCTCAATTGTAAGTGGGAGCTGAGCAATGAGAACACATGGACACAGGGATGGGAAAAACACACACTGGGGCCTGTTAGGAGGGAAGAAGGGAGAGCATCAGGATAAACAGCTAATGCATGCAGGGCTTAACACCTAGGTGATAGGTTGACAGGTGCAGCAAACCACCATGGCACATGTTTAGCTATGTAACAAACCTGCACAGCCTGCACATGTATCCTGGAACTTAAAATAAAATTAAATTTAAAAAAAAAAGGACTAAGTGAACTCCCATTCCACAGAAGCTCTTTCAGGGATGAGAGGAAAAAAATCATGGCATAGGAGATAGCTAATTTTGGTTTTTTTAAAAAAAAAATGGACAAGGGTAATGTAAGAAAAAAAATTATACTCTGATTTTATTTGTGAATAGTCATAGAAATCCTAAATTTCTTAATAGCAGAGTGAATTCAACAGTTTAGTAAAAGAAAACAATAATGGTAAAATGAGGTTTATTTCAGGGAGGCCAGGATGGTTCATCATCCAAAAACCTCTGACGCATTACACAAAATTAACAACTAAAGGAATGAAATCATCTGAATAGATGCATCAAACCCACATAAAATTCAACAATCATTCTCACCTTTTTTTAAAAATTAGGTTATTTTTATGGTCACTATTATTTTATATTGTACCAGAGGTCCTAGCCTGTTCAGTAACAGAAGAAAAATAAAAGTGCCGTCTAGAAATAAAAAGGAAAAAACTAATTCTTTTTATTTGTATTTAATATGATTGAATATAGAAAAATACAGAATACTATATAGAAATACTTACACCTGAAAAATTTCAAAAAGGTTGCTAGATGTGAAATGAAAATTTAAAATATGCATCAGTAATAACCAATTCTAAGATATAATAGAAAAAACATACCATTTACAAGGAGAATGAAAAGAAAAGATATCTTGGACTGCATCGAATAAAAATTGTATATAACATTTGTGCAGAAAAGCATTAATCATTATTGAAGAATGAAGAAAGAAAAAAAATGCTTGAACAAAGAAAGAAATACACCACGGCAGTAACTACTAAACTGAAATATCTATATAATTCAGCACAGCAATGGATGTCTGGGTATACATTCTAGAGAGAGACACACATTCTGTGGTAATAGAGGAAATTTGGATGCAACTGAAATTTCATCAAAAAGACAATAAATAAAAAGTTGGCATATTCATAGAATGAACTATAATACAGTAGTAAAAATTAGTTAACTACAGATATGTGTATGACAATGGATAATCTTAAAAACCTGTTTTTTAATAAAAACAAGTTGAAAACTAATAATGAAGTACAATAGTATGTGAAACTTTCAAGATATTCAAAACACTTTATATATTTATATAATAGTATAAAACATGCACAGAAGTATTAAAAAATACTCAAAATCCATATGTAAGGCAATGGAACAGGGGACTATGGCTGTATTTGTAATCATTTTTACTTCAAAGCCATCTGAAGCAAACGTAGAAAAATGCTAAGCTTAATAAAGCGGGATGATGGAAACATAGGTATGTAGTGGAGTTTGTCATGGTCTCATATGAAATGTGATATCCAGCCTTGAAAAAATTGTCACACAGAAGTCTAATCAAACCCAGGAGCTTGGCTATTGCTGCCTCTGGAAAAGGCTGGTAGATATCTTTAGTGCTGATGTAAAACTTCGTTCACAAACCACTGGAGAGATAGATGAAAATAATGAATAGGGCTGGGCGCCGTGGCTCACGCCTGCAAACCCAGCACTTTGGGAGGCCCAGGCGGGTAGAACACTTGAGCCCAGGAGTTCGAGACCAGCCTGACCAACATGGTGAAACCTCATCTCTACTAAAAAAATACAAAATTAGCTGTGTGTGCTGGCACATGCCTGTAATCCCAGCTACTTGGGAGGCTGAGGCAGGAGAATCACTTTAATTCAGGAGGCAGAGGTTGCAGTGAGCCGAGATCATGCCATCGCACTCCAGCCTGGGCAACAAAAATGAAACTCCATCTCAAAAAAAAAAAAAGAAGAAGAAGAAGAAAAAGAAAAAGGAAAAAAAAAGAAAATGATGAATAGATAGGTAGATTAATTTGTTAATTAAATAATATATCCAGGTAAGGTTTGAAACACAACCTTTATTACGTATGATGTTTACATGTTAGACTGAGTGCTGGTCCCTCATCTGCTTCATACCTTGGGCAGCCTGTCTGCTACTATCTCCATGGCTCTTTCTTCTCCCTGGAAGTGAAGAAAACAATTGAGGCAGAAGAGGAAGAGGCAAGAAACAATACAAGCATTGCTAGTCAGTTACCCTTCACCTTTGTTTTGAAGCTCAGAGTCATGCAACCCACAGTGAGTTCATTTCCAGATCAAATGCAGCAAAATGAAGGTTCTGAAACATTTCCAGTTCTCTTGGTGTCTCATCAGGATGATGTTGTTACCTCTCCAAATTCCCCTTTTCCCCAAGGGCTATATCTATGGGCTCAGGTGGGATCCCAGCTCAGGCCAAAGGCTCTCAGACTCCACACCTCTGATCTTGCTGGCATCCTGTCCTTTCAGGCCAATCCTGGCCCTTGAGGTTACACTGAGCTTCCGCTGCCTAGAAGAGCTGCAGCACCTCCTCTTAGAATTGAGGACAATCATGCAGACATTGAGAAAGTTCCCAGTCAATGCTCTTCACCTTGTCATCTAAGCAAATGGAGGACAATTCCCCCAGAAGCACCAGGTGCACGATAAGTTGATGTGGCTGCAGAGCCACCAGGTGACCCAGTGCATCCCTGCAGCTCCTTCCCTTGGATTCCTCTGGGCCCTCACAACACAGCCTCAGAAAACTGCAAGTCTCACTCCTTACCTCTTGCAAGAGAAGGCCACACCATCTTCCAGTATCTTCTGGCCCATAAGTCTCAGCTGCTGTGTGAAAATCAAACCAAAGAAAGACACTTCTTAGTTAATGCGACTTTTGAAATTCTCAGAATTTCCTGCAGGAGCTGGAAAGGTCAAGACAAATCCTGACTTACAATCGAGACTTTATTAGATGCCTAGGCAAGAAGCAGGGATCCCAGTTATGTCCCCCTCCATTGTTCCCTGAGCCAATAAAGCCCCCAAATCTTCCTTACAGAGACCTAAGCCTGAACTGGGGAGACAGTACTGGCTCGGGGAAGCCATTGCTCCCTCAGCAGACCCACAACCCAGGCTTTGCTCACTTCCTGTCCTTTGGAGAATGAAACACACAGCCTGGACATTGGCTCCAGGATCTCCTCAGGCCAAGGTCTTCTTCTGTGGGCTGCCCCTCCTCCTCCTTTGCTTCTGGTTTCTCTTCCTCCTCCTTCTCATTTCCATTTTCCTCCTCCTGCTCATCTTGGGTGCTCTCTGATTCCATGTTGCCTGTCAGCTGAGCCATGGTGAGATGAAAGACGTGGCAGCTGAAGCCCTCTCTGATCCCAAACTGCACATGCTCCTGGAGGGCTTCCATGGTGGTGAACACCCGGCAGCAGGCCATGCACCTGAAGCCGTTCTCCATGGTCACCAGCCAGTCAGGAGTCTTGGCTCTGGGTGTGTCCTCAACGGTGGGTGAGCCTGGCAGGCTGTCTGATTCTGTCCTTTCCTCATGCTCTTTCTCCTCCCCACTGGGCTCACTGTCAGACAGGAGGTTTCTGGTGGACACATCAGAGGGGGGAGTACCTACCCTCACAACCTCAGAAAGGGTCACTTCTTCCATCCTTGGCTGCTTTTCTAAGGACTCCAAAGTTTCCTCTGTCTCCCAGGAGACAGCCACACCTTTGTTCATTTGTACCTGCATGTAGTATATTTTCATGCCCCTTTCCTCTTTGTTTACACACAGAGAGGACACACAAGTCTTATAGGATGAATAGGACGACAAGGAGACATGTTGTGAGCGGGGAGGAGTCTCTCCTCGTTCCTGAACCTGGGCCAGGGGTGATTGAGGCTGGGGGCTGTCTCGATGTATTCTCTGGATTCCTGGGAAAGGAAATTAGAAACATGAGCAGATGCATGGGCCATGCTAGGAGCTGAGGGAACGTAAGTTAAATATGTGTGGTGCAGGAGACAGGGACTGTGGTGAGATGCAGCTGTGTAGTGAGCTTGGTATTTGTTGTTCATATTGTGGGGTAGTGATTCTAGTGTCATTTGCGTGTAGGGATGTTGGTGGGGTGTCCATATACAGGGGTGTGGAGTATGGTGGTGAGGACTGCAGCATATGTGGAATGTCGGCAGCATGTGTGTGCTATGAGGATGTGAGTTGGTGCCATCATTGATGTGTTATTTGTGGAATGTGGGAGGTAGTGTGGGAGAATGGCACTGCAGGTCATGCATTTGGGTGGTGTGTGTGCAGAAAGTGTACCTGTGGAGCGTGTGGCTGTATGTGTGAGGTGTGTGGGCCTGAGCTAGAGTCCCGCTGCAGTGCTGGAGGCCTGGGCTGAGGAAATCTGTCTTTCTCTGGAAGGCAAAGGCAGAGCCCAAATAGTTCCGATGAAAGTGCTTAATCTGGTCCTGTGGCCCTACACCCCAACAGCAGACTTTTCTGGCCTCTGCTCCCTGACTGCCTGACTGCACACCAGGGCTCATGCTCTCCTACACTGAGCTTATATCCATGCTCTTCTAACAGCTCTGTCATCTTGCCCAGACACCTCTGCAGAGCTCTGATCATATCCAACTGCCCTGGGTTTCTTCTTAGCCTCATCCTTGGATCTATGGGCCTCCTGCCCCCTACCCAAGGAGCCCTGCACCCAATCCCATGCCTAAGGAGTCCAGCACCCAAAGAGTCACATACCCATAGCGCCCTGCATCCAGAGTCTCATGCTCAAGGAACCTCACACCCAGAGAATGTCACATCCAAGGAGCCCCACACCCAAAGACTGTCACACCGAAGGAGCCCCAAACCCAAAAAGCCCCACTCCCAAAGAGTCTTACACCCAAGCAGCACTGCAACCAAAGAGTCTCATGCCCACAGAGCCCCACACTCAAATATTTTCATGCCCAATGAACCCCACAGCCAAGGAGCCACGTGCCGAAGGAACCCTGCACCCTTACCACTGTGGATGAGCTTGCGTGAAGAAGAAACGCAGGAGCAGTATTCGGAGGTAGAAGTAACTTCTCCCACCCCTTGGCTCCAGCCTTTGGCCACTCTAGTGGATCCAGGCTGCAGGGCATCCTCTTGGGACTTTGACATTCCTGAGAAAGGTATGAAGGGAACAGAGATATGATGGATGGGTAATGTTTGTGCATCATTTACCATCCAACAAATATTTACTGAGTGGCTGACCTATGTCAGGTGTAGTGAACACACATGGTTTGTGAGACAGGCTTCTGGTGGATACTCCAGTATTTAATTACAGTCAACAGGTATTTTGATAGTGTATCAATAGGAACATAGGCCTGTGTGGTGACTATGAGTACGTCTGAAGCGTAAGAGTGATACATACCAGATAGCCTTTGATATGTGTAGATTTGTGTGGGTATATTGTAGAAACATGTGTCTGTGTCTGTGGAGTTTGTGTGCATAGTTTTGTGTTTACAACCCTGAAATTATGCAATATGTAATTTTTCCTGATTGTATGGTGTGGCTTGTATTTATAATGTACATTAATTCATTCATCTGGCAATATTTTCATGAACAGCTACCATGAATCAGACACCAGTCCACTCTTCTAGGCTCTAGGAATACTGAACAAAACAGTCCTTCTTCTAAGTGGACTTTCCATTCTAGACAAGGAAGACAGACATTAAGCAGAAATATATAAGTATATCATAGGTCAGCTCATTATGAATTTATAAGGGTCATCAGATTTAGCAAACAAAAATAGCTGATGCCAAGTTAAATTTGAATTTTAGATAAATTACAAATAATTTTTTTAGCGTAAGTATGTCCCGTGCAATATTTGTCATACTTATTTTTAGTGTCAGTATGTTCCATAAAATATTTGGGACACACTTATACTAAAAAATCATTGGTGGTTTATCTGATATTCAAGTTTAACTGAACATCCTGTATTTTATCCGGCAACCCTAATAAGGGGATGGTGGTGAATCTTTGTTTCGTTGTGGTCTATGCAAAGCAGGCCTGGCTCTGCTACACAATGTGTTGCAGATATGGCATGTATGATGTGTGACTGGCTCTTAAAGAGGTATTTAGAGATAGTTTAACATAGATGTGTTTGTGTGAGAGTTGAGGAGACACACACACACACTCCCCACACACAAGAAATCTCTGTAGGAAGAAAAGACTGTCACACACATGGGTTGTGTGAGTATGTAATAGAGGAACGGTATGTGTATATAACTATATCCACTGTGTGTGGAGGTGTGTGACTCTTTCTCTGTATCAGAGTATATATGGGCATATGAGTGACTGTCTCCTGGAATACCCTTAACAAAAATTCGGTATACACTGTTATGTGTATTGAGTGTTGCCCAGGCCCAGGCATGGTGATAGGAAGTTCACCCCGCAGACCCCACCACTGTGCTCCCATTATCTCCAGTCCTCCCCCTCCCAACACACACACACATGTGCACACACAGACACACACACAGGCAGACAAAACATTCTGAAATGTAAGGGTAGATGAAGGAGAGGAAAACCATTGCCTTCCCCTTCCTGTCCCAGCCCCCTGCTCTCCATGCCTACTCTCCACGCCTCCATTCCCAGGGCTCAACCTACAGGTCTTTATGCCTCATAGGCGCTGCTGAGCTCTAATCGGGGCAGAAGCCTCCAGGGCCATCTCTGGGGCAGGCTCCTTTCTGCCCTGTCTCCTGCATGTGAGCATCCCCCTTTCAGGATAAGTGGCTTGTTTACATTTAATACATGCCATTATCATGCAGCCTGGGAAGTAAATTGACAGCGATCTGAGGCCCTTACCCTGTGCTTCATTTCCTCTGGGAAGTCCCACACTGTGGATTCACAAACTCTATTGGATTAATTGGTTAATTCTTCCCGCTGAAGCAATCAAACCTCCGTGGTTTCACTATGACGCCATCCCTAAACAAGTGTTTAATCTACTTTCTAACAAGCATTTCACTTCTCAAGATATTTTTCAACAAGGCCTTTAACTCATTGGGCTACTCTCGTTTCTGCTAAAAGGTGTAGTGCAAATCATAGACTTCTACCAGCACCCTTCACACCTTCCACCTCAGTCACCCCAGAGAAAGAGCAAATAAAGAGAATACGAGAGAAAGATGAGACTCAGGCTGCATCACTGGGTCTTTGTAAGTGGGTCCCCCGCCTGCCTGAGACTGGCATAGTTCCAGGTACCAGCAGCCCCAGAGCAAAAGTTCTCAGCCCAGCAGGGTTGGCTTTCTGTGTGCCAGTGGCATCTGAACTTCCTGTCCGTCTCACATCTGGGTACCCTCAAGATGGATGTGCGGGCATCAGCCAACAGCCAGGTCTTCCCCTCCCTACTGCATAGGTGGTACATTCTCCTCAGTTTCTCCTCCCTAAAGAAGGCTCAGGCTGGCCGGGAGCGATGGCTCACGCCTATAATCCCAGCACTTTGGGAGGCCGAGGCAGGTGGATCATGAGGTCAGGAGATCGAAACCATCCTGGCTAACACGGTGAAACCCTGTCTCTACTACAAATACAAAAAAAAAAAAAAAAAAAAAAATTAGCCAGGCGTGGTGGCGGGCGCCTATAGTCCCAGCTACTCGGGAGGCTGAGGCAGGTGAATGGCGTGAACCTGGGAGGCGGAGCTTGCAGTGAGCCGAGCTCACACCACTGCACTCCAGCCTGGGCGACAGAGCAAGACTCTGTCTCAGAAACGAAAAAAAAAAAAAAAAGGAGGCCGAGGCAGGCGGATCAGGAGGTCAGGAGATCGAGACCATCCTGGCTAACACGGTGAAACCCCGTCTCTACTAAAAATACAAAAAATTAGCCGGGCGTGGTGGTGGGCACCTGTAGTCCCAGCTACTCGGGAGGCTGAGGCAGGAGAATGGCGTGAACCCGAGAGGCAGAGCTTTCAGTGAGCCAAGATCGCGCCACTGCACTCCAGCCTGGGCGATAGAGCGAGACTCCGTCTCAAAAAAGAAAAAGAAGGCGGCTCAGGCTGGCCAGTGACGCTTGTGCCCCAGAAAGTTTGCCCCGCACATACCTCCTCCCTTCTCAGCGGTTTCCTGGGACTCTTCATTTTCCAAATGTTTCCTCTTTTGTCGTCGTTTCATGATATCAGCTAGAAGAGTTTCTAGAAGATGCTTAATGTCCACCTCCCACTTTTTCCTGTAGATTGGCCCTTCTTGGCTCTCAGGAAATTCATTAAAAAGATTCAGTACGAGTAAACGTAGTTGAATCTCCGAGATAGCTAAAGAACTCAGACCGCTTAGTGAAGGAGCAGCACTGCCCAGTGCCCACTACACTGCAGGGCTGTTAAGGTTCAAAGGTCACCAGGCCCATCGCAGATTCTCTGACATCAATGATGACATCACGGCGTTCTACGGACCTAGGTCCAACACAGTCTGTGCAACTGCAGAGACATCATTTTCAAAAACAATTCCTTTTTTCCAATAGAAGTCCTCTAATGAATTCAACTCTCCCGTATTTCAAATGTGGCAGAATATTTTGAGATGTTAACATGTTCTGTTTAATTTTTTTCTTTTCTTCTTTTTTTTTCACCCTTTCCCTTCTGGACTCAAGCAGGTAGCAGGCTTTGTGTTCATTGCTCAGAGGAGGGGTATGGCAGGGCTGAAAGCAGCAATAGCATGTTAATCATCTTGACTTTTCTTTCTTTTTTTTTTTTTTGTTGTTTTTATTTTGTTTTGTTTGTTCAGAGACAGGGTCTCTCTCTGTTGCCCAGGCTGGATTGCAGTGGTGTGATCATAGGGTCACTTCAGCCCCTAGGCTCAAGTGATCATCACACTTCAGCCTCCCGAGTAGCTGGGACAACAGGCACCAGACACGAGGCACCACACCCGGCTAATTTTTTTTTTTTTTTTTTTTTTTGAGAAACAGGGTCTCAGTATGTTGCCCAGGTTGGTCTTGAACTCCTAGCCTCAAGCTATCCTCCTGCCTCAGGCTCCCAAAGTGCTAGGATTGTAGGCATGAGCCACCACACCCCACCTGACTTTTATTTCTAAAATCTCAAACTCTGTAGGAAAGAGGAAAGTTAGCAGAAACATAACGGAAGCAGGATTTTTTTTAACTAGGCATGCCCCCTTCTTGCTCTACTATAGTGTTGAGAGGTACTGATTAGGTCAGAGAGAGAGAGGGATCTTCAAACTATGGAGGAGAGGAGCCCTCTAAAATGTGGCTGAAGAGGTACATGTGGCAAAAACTTCAAGAAGGGCTGCCTGTATTATGCGTACAGGCAGAATCATGGCGACCTATCTCACACATGGCATAGGAGCCACACCACCTAAAGACTCCCTGGCAGCTGAGCTGATGGGCATCTAAACTTCAGCTGTATGCTCCAATAACCAGAGACTATGCTCTCACCCCACCCTCAAAACCTCAGCCCTGTATGATTTCCAAATAGGGAGGGGTGGAAATCCAAAGAGGACATCAACAGAACCAAGGCTTAAATTACAAATTAAATGGAGTTACATAAGAAAATTGCATACTATTTCCTGCACATCTCTGCTCATGGGCTGAAATGTATACCAGTTATAAGTGGCAACCCATCTGGATCTTCCTGATTCCAATCTAAAATTAGAGACACCTTATTTGGGGCAGTGGCCCCAGTCCAGTGGGACTATTAGTTGACAAGTATGAGGGGGACTCCCAGAAATCACTGCATTAAAAAAGCAGTAGAAATACCCAGAGGACCAAGATGGGCCCAAATTTGAAAGGGCACTGCAGACTGTCCCCAGGCAGAAGGAGAATGAAGATAGGGCAAATGTAGCCTTGTAAAAATTTGCTGATGAGATTAAATCTCCAGTTTCTTAAAGAATCCCTAAAAAAGAGGGGCCAAAGAGCATTTTTTTGGGTGGTAGAAATTTTCAGACTAAAGTAGAGAGAATTGTATAATAGGAATGCAGTTTCATGTACACATAATCCAGTTTCAACAGTTATCAGTATTCTGCCATTCTTGTTCCAACCACCACACACACAGACTTTTAGTCTTTTGTTCATTTCTTTTTATTTAGGTGTTTGAGATAGAGGAGTGGGGGACTTGCTGTATTTTAAAGCAAATTCCAGACATTATGTCATTTCTCCTTGAATGCAGCAGTATGTACCTACAAAGATATGAACTTTTAAAAAGCATAACAGAAATATCATTATCTCACCAAATGAATTTAATCATAATTCTTTTATATAATTTCATAACCAAGCCATACTCAATTTCCTCCAAATATGCTAAAATATCTTTGTATAACTGTATTGTTGAGATCAAGATCCAAACAAAGTCCACACATTGTGATTGGTTGATACATCTTTTAGTCTATAACAGTTCTCCCTCCCTTTTTAAGGCATTCACCTGTTGGAAAAAACTGAGTAATTTATCTTCTAGAATTTTCCACAGTTTGGAAATGGTTAATTGTATTCTTGTGATGTTATCTAGATGTTCCCCTATGAGCTGAATTGCCTTGTAAACAGGTAGTTAGGTCTAGATAATTGATTAGTTTTAGATTCAGTGACATGGGAAGCTTGCAGAGTTTTGCAGGAGAAATTACATTTGAAAAGATCACTCTGGTAACTGTGTTGAGAATAGACTTTTAGAAGGCAAAGGCTGAATCAGAGAGAACAGTGGGCCTATTGCAATAATCCAGGAGAGAGATGAGACTGGTTTGGATCACAATGTTAGATGTGAAAATAATGGATAGTGGTCATCTTCTGGATGTATTTTGTAGGAAGAGACAACAGAATTTGCTGAAAGATCAGATATTTTCCAGAAGCTAGGCTTGTGGACTCCTTCATCTGGTACCCCACCAAAAGAGGCCATTCTACATCTGCCCCTGAAGTCATAGCCTTCATGTGGGGAACATGTGGGGACACTAGATCAAAGGAGCCTCCTCTTGTAGCCGACAAAGATGGCTGTTTGTTCCTCCCTCTGACCTCCCCCTCTGGCTTTCCTCTGTTCCTCTTTGACTTCCCCCACCACCAGATTCATCATCAAAACTCCTTCTGATCCTTGAAGAGTCAGGGAAAAAATGTCCACCAGGTGACCAAATATTACTTAGGGGTAGGAGTCACAGTCCTGGAAGACATACCCCAAACTGTTCACTTTCCTTACCTCTGAGTCAAGAAGGAGGATGAGAGGAACAGGTGCAGAAGATAATGAAAGAGAACTCTACTCCTTATATTTCATACTCTGGATGATTAGAATTCTATAACAAAAATGTACTAACATATAACTTGTGTAACTAAAAATATACACATATTAAGAACAAACCAGCGAGCCTGCCACTCCTAGAAAATTGACAATATTAAGAATAAAGCAGAAGATATAATTACAGACCCTGTAGACATCAAAAAAATAGCAAGGAAACCCCACAAACAGAGCTATGGACTTGAATTTGACAACTTAGATGAAATGGACAAATTTCTCAAAAAACACAAACTGCTACAACTCGCTCAGTATGAAATAAGTAAATTTCATGCCCTATAACTATAAAGGAAATTGAATTTGTAATTGTTAAACTCCCAAAAAAGAAATCTCCATGACTACATGGTTTCACTGGGAAATTCTGTCAAATGTTTAAAGAAGAATTAACATTAATTCTACACAATCTCTTCCAGAAAAAGAGGAAGAGAGATGATTTCTCAATTCATTTTATGAAGTTAGTAATACCCTGATACCAAATCAGACAAAGATAGCAACAAAAAAGAAAACTACATACCAATATTCCTAATAAATATAGACGCAAAAATTCTTAATAAAATATTAGAAAACAGAATTCAGCAATATGTATAAAGAATTACATACCATGACCAAGTGGGGTCTATTCCAAGGATGCAAGACTGATCTATTCCAAGGATGCAAGACTGATTAAACTTCAAAATTCAATCCATATAATCCACTGTATTTATAGGCTAAAAAAGAAAAATCGCATAGGTTGAAGAAGAAAAGAAAATCAACTGATGCAAAACTTTTTAAAGCATTTTAAAATATTCATTCTAGCTGGGTTGGTTTGGTACTCCTATAGTCCAAGCTACTGTGGGGCTGAGGTGAGAAGATCACTTGAGCCCAGGAGTTTGAGGCCATCCTGACAACACAGCAAGACCACATATCTTTTTTTTTTAAAAGTTGTTCTTATAAAAATAGGAATAGAGAGGAAATTTCACAACTCAGTAGAGAGAATCTACGTAAAGCCTACCGCTAACATTGATGGTAAAACTGAATGTTTTTCTCCTAAGAACAGGAACATGGCAAAGCTGTCTACTCTCAATGTTCTTAATAATAATGCTCTTAGCATAAAACTGGATGTTCAAGCCAGTGCAAAGGGCAAAAAAAGGAAAACAAAAGTGACACAAGAGAGAATAAAAGAAATAAAACTTCCTATTTCCAGGTGACATGATTGTGTAGAAAATCCCAGAAAATCTACAGAAAGAAGAGGAGGAGGAGGGGGAGGAGAAGGAGGAGGAGGAGGAGGAAGAGGAGGAACAAAGGTAGAGAAGGAAGAAAAAAGAAAAAAGAAAGAGAGAGAGAGAACTTCTATAAATGAATGCAGCAAAGTTACAGGGCAGAAGATAAAATTACATCAATTGTATTTCTATATATTACCAACAGACACATGAACACCAAAATTAAAACAATACCACTGGCCATGCAGAGTGGCTCATGCCTGTAATTCCAGCATTTTGAGAGGAGGAGGCGAGAGAATCCCTTGAGCCCAGGAGTTCCAGACCAACCTGGACAACATAGCAAGAACACTTCTCTACAAAAGAAATTTTTAAAAATTAGCTGGGGGTGGTAGCACATGGCTCTGGTCCTAGGTACTCGGGAGGCTAAGCACATGAAATGATATTCAATATCATTATCCATTAGGAAAAGGCAAAGTAAAACCACAGTGTATCACTACACAACTATTGGAATGACTACAATAAAAAAGTGACAACATCAAATATTGATGAGGATGTTGGATCATTCATACATTGCTGCTAGAAATGTAAAATGTTATAGCCAAAAGTATGGCAGCTGAAACATATAACTACCTTATTACCCAGCAATTACATTATTGGGCATTTATCCCAAAGAAATGAAAAACCTGCATACAAAAACCTACATAACAGCTTGTTCATAATAGCCAAAAACTAGAAACAACTCAGATGCCCTTCAAGGGGTGAATTATTAAACAAACTGTGGTACTTTCTTACTTTGAATACTACTTAGCAATAAAATGGATCAAACTTGGATGAATCTTCAGAGAATTACGCAGAGAGGGGGGAAAAAAGTCAATGCCAAAATGTTATATACCGTGTAATTCCACTTATAAAACATTCCTGGAATAAGGAAAGTATAAAAATGAAAAATCAATTAATGGTTGCCAGTGGTGAAAAAGGGGGTGAGAGTGAGAGAAAAGCAAATGTGGCTATAAAAGAGCAACATGCAATATGGCTATAAAAGAGCATCCCACTGCCACTCACACCATGGGGTGTGGCTCCTCTTCCTTTGGAAAGGGGAGAGAAGAGTGGGAAAGACTGCATCTTGTGGTTTGAGTGCCAGCTCAGCTGCACAACAATAGGACACCAGGTAAACTTCTAAGGTTTTTGACTCTAGTCCCTGACTTCTGGACAGCACCTCTGAAAATGCGTAGGGCCTCAGGGAACTCGCCACCCTGAAGGGAAGGACACAAGGCTCTCTGGCTTTACCACCTGCTGACAGTAGAGTCCCAGGGCCTTAAGTGAACATAAGTGGTAGCCAGGGAGTGGTTACAGTAGGCCTTCGGTGAGACCCAGTGCTGTGCTGCCTTCAGGTCTGACCCAGTACAATCATAGTGGTGGTGGCCTCGTGGGAGTTTGTGTCACTTCATCCCCAGCTCTAGGTGGCTAAGAATAGACAGACTGTGTTTGTTTGGGAGAAAGTAAGGGAAGAGAACAAAAGTATCTGCCTGATAATACAGAGAATTTTTCCAGATCTTGTCCAAGACCATCAAGGTGGTACCTCTAGGAGTCTGCAAGGACCACAGCGTTACTGGGCTTGGGGTGCCCCCTAAAGCAGATACAGCTTAGATCACAACACCAAAGTCCTTTCAAAAAAAGTATTCTCAAGAAGGACAAGTACTAAGTCCAGACTGAGAAGACAACAGTAAATACTTATCTCTTCAATGCCCACACAGACGAACATCTACAAGTATTAAGACCATCCGAGAAAACATAACCTCATCAAATGAACTAAATAAGGCACCAGGAATCAATCCTGGAGAAACAGAAATATGTGATCTTTCAGAAAAGGAATTCAAAGTAACTGTTTTGAGGAAATTCAAATAAATTCAAGACAGCATGCAGAAGGAACTCAGAATTCTATACGTCAAATTTAACAAAGAGATTGAAATAATTAAAAATAATTAAGCAGAAATTGAAGACAAGAAAAACACAACTGGCATACTGAAGAATACACCAGAGTCCTTTAATAGAAGAATTGAACAAGAAGAAGAAAAAATTCATTGAGCTTAAAGACAGGCTATTTGAAAATATACAGTCAGAGGAGACAAAAGAAAAAAGATTTTAAAAAAACAATGAAGCACACTTGCAGGATCTAGAAAATAGTCTCAAAAGGGCAAAACTAAGAGTTGTTGGCCTTAAAGAGGAGGTAGAGAATGAGATACGAGTTAAAAGTTTATTCAAATGAATAATAACAGAAAGCTTTCCAAACCTAGAGAAAGATATCAATATCCAAGTATAAGAAGGTTATAGAACACCAAGCAGATTTAACCCAAAGAAGACAAGCTCAAGGCATTTAATCATCAAACACCCAAAGGTCAAGAATAAAAAAAGGATCTTAAAAGCAGCAAGCAAAAAAGAAAAAAACAAATAACATACAATGGAGGTCCAATACATCTGGCACCAGACTTTTCAGTGGAAACCTTACAAACCAGGAGAGAGTGAGTGGCATGACATATTTAAAGTGCTGAAGGAGAAAAGTTTACCCTAGAATAATATATCCATGAAAATATCCTTCAAACATGAAGGAAAAATAAAGACTTTTTCAGACAAACAAAAGTTGAGGGATTTAATCAACACCACACCTGTTCTACAAGAAATGCTAAAGGGAGTGCTTCAGTCAGAAAGAAAGGATGTTAATGAGCAATAAGAAATCATCTGAAGGTAAAAAAAATAAAACTTACTGGTAATAGTAAGTACACAGAATATTAAAAAACTGTGGCTGCAGAGTATAAACTATCTTAAGTAGAAAGACTAAATGATGGACAAATCAAACATAATTACTACAACAACTTTTCAAGACATAGAAAGTACAATAAGATATAAATAGAAATAACAAAAAGTTAAAAATCAGGAGACAAAATTAAGGCATAACATCTTTATTAACTTTCCTTTGGCTTGCTTGTTTATGCAAACAGTTGTTATCAACTTAAAATAATGGGTTATAAGATACTATTTGCAAGCCACATGGTAAACTCAAACCAAAAAGCATACAATGAATACAGAAAAAATGAAAAGCAAGAAACTAAATCATATCACCAAAGAAAAGTACCTTCACTAAAAGGAAAACAGAAAGAGAAGAAAGAAGGGAGAGAAGACCAGAAAACAAATAAAAAAAATTGTAGGAGTAAGTCCTTACTTATCAATATTAGCAATGAATATAAATGGACTAAATCAGTCTATCAAAAGACATGGAATGGCTGTGTGGATTTTAAAAAAAACAGGACCTAGTGATCTGTTGCATACAGGAAATACAATTCACCTATGAAGACACACATAGAAATAAAAGAAAGGGGAGAAATAAGGTAATCCATGCCAATAGAAACTGAAAAGGAGCAGGAGTAGCTATACTTACATCAGACAAAATAGATTTTAAGACAAAAACTATGCAAGGAGACGAAAAAGGCCACCATACAATAATAAAGGGGTCAATTCAGCAAGATTTAACAATATTAAATATATATGCACCCAACACTGGAGCACATAGATAGATATATAAAGGAAATATTAGTAGAGCTGAAGAGAGAGATAGACATCAATATAATAATAGCTGATGGCTTCAACACCCCACATTCAGCATTGGAAAGATCTTGCAGATGAATAAACAAAGAAACATCAAACTTAGTCTGCACTATAGACCAAATTGACCTAATAGATATTCACAGAACATTTCATCCAGTAGCTACAGAATACAAATTTTTTTCCTCAGCACATGGATTATTCCCAAGGACAGATCATATGTTAAGTCACCAAGGACGTCTAAAAACATTCAAAAAGATGAAATCATATCAAGCATCTTCTCTGATCACAATGAAATAAAACCAGAAATCAATAACAAGAGGAATTTTGGAAGCTATACAAATACATGGAAATTAAATATATGCTCCTGAATGACCAGTGGGTCAATGAAGAAATTAAGAAGGAAATTGAAAAAATTTTTGAAGCAAATGATAATGGAAACACAACATACCAAAACCTATGAGGCACAGCAAAAGCAGCTCTAAGAGAGAAGTTTATACCTACAAGTGCCTACAACATCAAAAAGGAAGAAAAACTTCAAACAAGCTAACAATGCACATTAAAGAACTAGAAAAGCAAGAGCATGCCAAATGCAAAATTAACCAAATAAACAACAAAAATCAGAGTAGAAATAAGTGAAAGTGAATGAAAACAATACAAAATATCAATGAAACAAAAAGTTGGGTTTTTGAAAAGTTAAACAAAATTGACAAACCTTTGGCCAGAGTAAGAAAATAAGAGAAAAGATCCAAATAAATCAGAGATGAAAAAGGAGACATTACAACTTACAGTGCAGAAAGTCAGACGATCATTAGTGGCTAGTATGAACAACTATATGCCAATAAACTGGAAAACCTAGAAGAAATAGACAAATTCCGAGATACATACAACCTACAAGATTGAACCATGAAGAAATCCAAAACCTGAACAGACCAATAACAAGAAACAAGATGAAACCATAATAAAATTTCTCCCAGTAAAGAAAAGCCCAGAACTCAATGACTTTACTGCTGAATTCTACCAAACATTTAAAGAAAAACTAATATCAATCCTACTTAAACTATTCCAAAAAATAGAGAAGGGACTACCTCCAAACTCATTCTATGAGGCCAGTGTTACCCCGTTACCAAAACCAACAAAGACACATCAAAAAAGAAAACTGCAGGCCAATATCTCTGATGAATATTGATGCAAAAATCCTCAACAAAATACTAGCAAACCAAATTCGATATGTTAAAAAGATCATTCACCATGACCAAGTGGGATTTATCCCAGGGATGCAAGCATGGTTCAACATATGCAAATAAATCAGTGTGATACATCATAGCAACAGAATGAAGGACAAAAACTATATGATCCTTTTAATTGACATCAGAAAACCATCTGATAAAATTCAAAATCCCTTCATGATAAAACCCCTAGAAAAACTAGGTATAGAAGGAACATACCTCAACATAATAAAAGCCATATGCAACAGACCCACAGGTAATATCATACTGAATGGGGAAAAACTGAAAGCCTTTCCTCTAAGATTTGGAATATAAGGATGCCCACTTTCAACATTGTTATTCAACATAGTACAGGAAGTACTAGCTAGAGAAATGAGACAAGACAAAAAATAATGGGCATCCAAATCAGAGAGGAAGAAGTCAAATTATCCTATTTGCAGATGATATGCTCTTATATTTGGAAAAACCTAAAAACTCTACTGAAAAACTATTACAACTGATAAACAAATTCAGTAAAGTTGCAGGATACAAAATCAACATACAAAAATCAGCAGCATTTTTATATACCAATATTGAACAATCTGAAAAAAAATTTAAGTAATCTCATTTACAACAGCCACAAATGAAATTAAATACCTAGGAATTAACCAAAGAAGTGAAATATCTCTATAATGAAAACTATAAAACATTGATTAAAGAATTTGAAGAGGATACAAAAAAATGGAAAGTTATTCCATGTTAACGGATTGTAAAATCAGTATTATTAAAATGTCAATACTACCCAAAGCAATCTATTGATTCAGTGCTATTCCTATATAAATAGTAATGACATTCTTCACAGAAATAGAAAAAACAATCTTAAAATTTATATGAAACCATAAAAGACACAGAATAGCCAAAGCTTCCCTGAGCAAAAAGAACAAAACTAGAGGAATCACATTACCTGATTTCAAATTATACTATTGAGATACAGTAACCAAAACAGCATGGTACTAGCATAAAACAGACACATTGACCAATGGAACAGAATAAAGAACCCAAAAACAAATCTACACAACCACAGTGAACTCATTTTTGACAACAGTGCTAAAAACATACACTGGGGAAAAGACAATCTCCTCAGTAAGTCGTGCTGGGGAAACTGGATATCCAAATTCCGAAGAATGAAACTAGACTCCTATCTCTCACCATATACAAAAATCAAATTGAAATTGATTAAAGACTTAAATCTAAGACCTCAAACTATAAAACTACTAGAAGAAAACATAGGGGAAACTCTCGAGGCCGTTGGTCTGGACAAAAATTTCTTGAGGCAAACACAGTCAGTCAAAGCAAAAATGGACAAATGGGATTACATCAAGTTAAAAAGCTTCTGTACAGCAAAGGAAACAGTCAACAAAGTAAAGAGACAACCACAGAATGTGAGAAAATATTTGCAAACTACCGATCTGACAAGGGATTAATAATCAGAATATATAGGGAGCTCAAAAACTCTAAGGGAAAAATCTAATAATCTGATTTTACCATGGGCCAAATATTTGAATAGACATTTATGAAAAGAAAACATACAAATGACAAACAGGCATAGGAAAAGGTGGTCAACATCACATCATTGATCATCAGAGAAATACAAATCAGAACTATAATGAGATATTATCTCTCCCTAGTTAAAATGGCTTAAATCCAAAAGACAGGCAATAAAAAATGCTAGTGAGGATGTAAAGCAAAGGGGACCTTTGTACACTGTTGGTAGGAAGGTAAATTAGTACAACCACTATGGAGAATGGTTTGATCGTTCCTCAAAAAATTAAAAATAGAGCTACCATATGACCCAGCAGTCCCATTACTGAGTATATACCCAAAAGAAAGGAAATCAGTATATTGAAGAGATAGCTGCACTCCTATGTTTGTTGCAGCACTGCTCACAATAGCCATAATTTGGAGGCAATCTAAGTGTCCATCAACAGATGAATAGATAAAGAAAATGTGGCACATATACACAATGGAGTACTATTCAGCCATAAAAAAAGAATGATCCTGTTATTTGCAACAACATGATGGAACTGGAGGTCATTATGCTAATTGGAATAAGCCAGGCAGGGAAAGACAAATATCGCATATTCTCACTTATTTGGGGGATTTTAAAATCAAAACAATTGAATTCACAGAGATAGAGAGTAGGAGGATAATTACCAGAGGCTGGGAGGGGTCGCGGGAGGTTGAGGGGATGGTGGAGATAGTTAATGTGTACAAAAAAAAAAATAGCTAGGAAGAACAAATAAGACCTAGTACTTGATAGCACAGCAGGTTGACTATAGTCAATAATAATTTATTTGCACATTTTAAAATAACTAATAGAATGTAATTGGATTGTTTGTAACACAGGGATAATGCTTGAGGGGATGGATATTTCATTTTCCACGATGTGATTATTCCACATTGTATGCCTATAGCAAAACATCTCATGTACTCCATAAATATGTATACCTACTATATACTCACAAAAATTAAAAAAAAATTTTTTTTAAAAGATTGAGGTTGGTCACTATGGGATTCAGGTAAAGAATTATCTTGCTTCTCCTACAAAATACATTTTTCTTAACACCTGTGCAAGTCTCCATGGAAGGCACAGTAGATAAAATTTCTTGCTATTCACAGGAGAGCAAATAAGTTAACACTGGAGAAAGCATTTTATAAACTATACCTGCTGCAAAAATGTAAGGTGCGAGAGTTACCCTCAGGAATTGCAAATCTAAATACCTTTAAACTAGAATGAACTTTGAAATTCTCTAACCACCATTTATTCTTCAATTTCTATAGCAACCTCCATCAAGAGGTTGCCCAGTCCACATTTCAATATTCCCACTGATAGGAAGCTTGCTTCCCCTAAAAGTAGTTTTAACATCTATCTATAGAAAGGTCTGTAAAATTTTAATTTAAGAAAAAAGATCTTCTTAAGTATGAAACTTTCCCTCATTCATCACCATTACACTCTTTAGAGACTATGTCAATCAAGAATAAGCTTGCTTATTCTATTGTTAACAAATAACCCATAAAAATCTCAGTGGCTTAAAACAACCAAGGTTTCCTGCTCCTAGTGCATGCTCTCTGTGGGTCAGCTGGGAGCTTGCTCCTCATTGTCCTCACTCTTGCACCCAGGCTTATAAAACCACCACTTTCTGGAAAATTTCCAGGCATTACAGAAGGAAAGAGAATTCTGGAAAGTCTCACTTGGGCATTAAATGTTCTGACCTAGAAGTCATACAGATCACTTCCACTCAAAATCATTGACCAGGAAATACAATCTTATCATGTGCCACCCCATATTCTAGAGTCCTGAGTCAAAAATACTTGTGACCAGGCACAGAAGCTCATGCCTAAAATCCCAGCACTTTGGAGGCAGAGGTGGGAAAGTCACTTGAAACCAGGAGTTCAAGATCAGCCTGGGCAACATAGCAAGCCCCTGTCTCTACAAAAAATAAAATAAAAAATTAGCCAGATGTGGTGGTGCACACCTGTAGAATCCATTACTTGAAAGGAAGCAGGAGGATCACTTGAGCCCAGGAGTTCAAGGCTGCAGTGAGCTAAACTATGATTGCACCACTGCACGGAAGCCTGGGCAACAGAGCAAGACCCTGTCTCTATTTTTTTAAATGCTTGTGAACAGTACTGCTGAATAGCACAGACACCAGATAAAAAAATCCTAATTCCTTATCATTAAATACAAAACTTGACAAACCCATCAAGCTACATTTTCACAAAACTAGGGCTGGAACTCAGATCTCTGAGATCACAATTTGGAACTTTTTCCATCATGCTGTGTTAGGATGTTTACATGAGGACAATGTAGCTGGGATTATATGGCATTTACTTAGTTTTTTGTTTTGTTTTTCTTATTCATAAATAGGAGGAAGATTGGAAGTTCCTAAAGCACATGCCTTAAACTGAGAAGCAACTGCAAAATAATTTTACTCCATTTTGAAATGTTTGACCTAGTAAAGATTGGATTTCTGAGAGGCTTTTATATTCTGAATATAGGGAATACAAAGGAAACAATCTTTCTAAGACTTCAAGAAACAACGGAAAAACTCTTGACTCTCACTTTGCTATTTCGATTATTTTTTTGACACATTGGGTCTTTGAGTAATTGTGGCAGCAGCAGCCACAGAGTTTTACCCAAGATAAAAGTATATATAATAGCATGGCAGCCTCTGCAGAACCACACAATATGGTAAATGCCTTAGCTCAATCCTATTTGCTCATAGTTCTGTGCAAAATAACAAATGGTTCTGAAACAATTATTCCAAATATGTTTTGCTCTTATTACTTTAAAGACTTGGCTGCCAAATATTTGCTCCAAGATAAAAAAGGAACACATATATGGGACGAAGATTATGCATTAAGATATGCTGCTTATTTTGCTTCTGTAGATACAATGCACATCTTATGAATTAGAGGTAGTCTTCCACCGTTCCCCAAATGGTGGACAAATGAGCATATCATTCCATCACTTTAATCCATCCTGGCTGGAGACACTTTTTTAAAGAATATTACTTTCCTGCTCAAATCTTAAATGCCTTCCTAATATGAGGAGAATAAAGTCTAAAATATTCAACCAAACATTCAAAGCCCTGCAGGGGTGGAATCCTTACTGAATTTTCTAGCCTACAGCACAACACTCCCCTTTAGCTTCTATTCAAGTAAGCCAAGCTTCCCTCTTGAAATAGAGTGCAGGTCCTTGCTCAAGTTATTTCTTTCAATAGCACAAATGTTCAAAGTACAATTTGTTTTAAAGTTCCACTTTCTATAAGAAGCCTTTTCAGATATCCCATTGGGAATGGACTACACATTTCTGGTTTTTTGGTTTGTTTTGGTTTTTGTTTTGTTTTGATTTGTTATGTTTTGTTTGAGACAGAGTCTTACTCTGTTGCCCAGGCTAGAGTGCAGTGGCGCAATCTCAGCTCACTGCAACCTCCACCTCCCGGGTTCAAGCAATTCTCCTGCCTCAGCCTCCCAAGTAGCTGGGATTACAGGCACCAGCCACCACACCCAGCTAATTTTTGTATTTTTAGTAGAGACACGGTTTCACCATGTTGGCCAGGCTGGTCTTGAACTCCTGACCACAGGCCTGCCTTGGCCTCCCAAAGTGCTGTGATTACAGGCATAAGCCCCCACGCCCAGCCTGGACTACACATATCTATAGCATGTTAGTTGTTCTTCTATGATAGCCCTTTTCATATTCTGCCTTCAGGTCAGTCTATTAATGAACGTATCTGATTTCCCCACAACGCAGGATATAAATCCTTGGAAAGTAGAGGCTATAATTTCTCATCTCTGGATTCTCCACAGCTCCTTGAACTTAGTTTAAGCTCCCCTACTCGCCACCTGCCCCTCAAAATAAAAACGAAAGCCTAAATAAATTGCTAAAGTACTGGATCTTGTTTCTCCCTGGCCCAAACAATGTCCCAACTGGTTTCTCTTTTACTTTTCTTCACACAAGCACAGAAGTGTAATCTCTGCATTTATCTGTAAAAGGAGGGATTTGTCAGGCCTGTCACCATACCCACGTATCTGAAGCAAAGTGAGAATGCTGCTTGTCTTGCGTAATAAACCCAACTCCCTTTATCTTTACCAAAAACTATTTTTTCCACTGCCTAAAATTTAACCATGGAGAGTCAGCACTTTGAATATTTAACTTTCAAAGTTTCTTATTAAAATACAAGTACTTTTGTGAGAAGTGATACCTTAATTTAAACCATTATCAACCAATGTTTTAGCAATTATTAGAGGAAAACAAGTCAGGAATTAAGCCATTTCTTAATGGAATAAAAGGTATGGAAACAGGGAAGAGAGGGAATAGTATCTGGTTAGCAGGTAGATGACGGTGGTGGTGAGAAAACAACAAAAATATTCAACTTCTGCGTAAATTTGCAACAGACTAGATCTTCCTGAGATGGTGTGCCTGTATGAAGCAATGTATTAAGAACATAAGGAACATATTTTATATATATACCCATAGCCAAATTAATAATGTTAACAGACATTATTACTGTTCAGTAGAACAGAGATTCACAGAAGTTCAAATAACTACACAGCAATCAAAATTTAATTATAGAAGAGCCCAGAGATTTGGATAAAACGCACAATTGTAAAGGAAACCTTCCCATCAGACACTTTGTTGCTGTGTATAAATGAGAAGCAAGAGAAGCAACCCTTACAAAGCAGGCTCAGATGATTGCTGGTGCCTAGGAAAACTCCTGGCCCAAAAGGATTACTCTGAAGTGAGCCACATCTTCCACTGAACCTGTTTTGTAGAGTTTGAAAATCTCCATGGACCTGAACCCTTGACATCAATCCATGAAAGTAAATGGGATTAACAGGCTCTGGCCAAGGTTTCAGTGTCCCTTCCAAGAGATGGGCAGTGTATCCACAGTGATAGGGGGAATATGAATTGCTGGCAAATCCCATGCTTACAATGCCTCTTGGTCTATAAATCATGCCTTCCTGCTGTTTATAGTTCTATAAATGATTAGAGAGAAACTTGTTCCTAGATGCAATAACTGAGGTCACTGAAGATTACATGCTGCATGAGCTCACAATATCTGCCCTGAGAAAAACAATAAAGTGGTCAACCTCCTACTCCTTTTGCTGGAATACTTACTGTTTGTCACTAAAGGAGTTTAGCTGTAACCTATGAGCAAAAACCTTCTGTCATTCACATTCAGTTCTTTAGTGGGTAGAAAGGGGTCAGAGAAGCTTAAGAGTATCTGAACAGTTGAAGATTCCAACCTGACACAGAGCTGGGAGCAGTGCATCTACCATGTGGGTAATTTTTAAGACTGCTTGGATGTGTGGAACCTTTTTATTGGTTCTCTGTCTTTCAGGTGTCCCAAAATTTCTATCTCATTCCAATTTTGGAAATGACTCAAGTTCTGTCTTCCTCCAGAGAAAGGAAGCAGCCACAAGTTTTATAAACCTAAAATTAGAGTAGCCAAGTTAGACTGTCATACCATTGAAGCCTGACAATATTTAATACCTGATAACATCATTGTCAAATAACATTTCTAAGAACCCAATTGCATGACATATTGAAGTTCTAAGTTGAAGATCACAAATTACATTGTTGTAGTCTCTGGGCCTCCTAGTTCCCACAGTCTAAAGCAGGTGTGTGCAGTGTATAGAAAAGTCAAAATAAAAAATGGCAGACCAGAATTAGAATGGACAAAGCAACTGCTCTATCACTGTGGATTCTTTCCATCTCCTGCCATCCATCATTCTTCCCCCAAAAGTATATCACAACCCTGGTGACCAGTCCCACCTCATTGAGGTGGAGGCAAAGCCTGGAAAGATAATCCAGCAGTTGCTGAGATGCTCAGGATTGGGAAGGACTCTGGTGTTTGTGAAATCCAGTCCCCATGCTACCCTTGAATTTCCTCTACAATGGCTCCACCAAGTAGTTACCTGGCAAATATTCACACACTTTCAGGGGCTGGTAATTCACCACTTTCTAAAGAAAACTATATCTCTGGGCAAGTATGATAGAAAACTTTTCTTTGTAAGGCCAAATCTACTTCCCAGAGTCTGTTGTTTCTAGTTGCTTCCTTTGGGGCCACAGAGAACAAGTCTACATTCCTCTTCCATAAGTCAGCCCTCCTAATATCTCAAGACTATTATCTCAGCCCTTTAAGTCTTTTCATAAGCTACACAGTCCTATCCTCCAAGCATTCAGATTTTATTAGCCTGTTGCCATCCAAGTTTCCCCTAAATGTGTCCTAGTTGCTTTATATTTGTCTTAATGTACATTTCCCACAACTGCCCACGACATTCCAACTAAGCCCTGACCAAAACAAAGTAAGAGTTGTATTCTTACTTTCTCCATCGTAAATACTTCATCTAAGACTAGTTCTTTGGTATACACATCACATTAACTCTTGCTTACCTGATCTAGGCATTTTGAAGTAGCCAAGTCAAAATTCAAAACCATTATTTATTCCCAAGTAATCTAGCCAAATGATAACTAGGACTCTTCTATCCCCAACCTGAAGACCATCCATAAGCCTTAGCCCAGAAACATAAAGGCACAATAAATGGGTGAAAGGTTTTGTTGTGTACTTTCCTTTTATTTTTTATAAGTAGAAAAATCTTTTAAAAATCAGCAAAATAAAACATTCATTTATTCAGCATTTATTGAGGACCCACTATGTACAGCTCTCAAAATTACTGGGGCCACAAAGATAAATATTTGCAATCAGTGCTGTAGAAACTCTTACCACCTGGTTTCATGGTTATTTCTTTATCCTATTCTTGAGTAGGTGATAGAGTATACTCTTGTGTTTAATGTAATTGTTCCATGCACTGAACAGATTCTAATGTTTTATGCCAGCCTAATCTTAATGCAACATTGACAACAATAATAATACCTAATATTTGTTAAATGTTTATTACATATTTGCTTTGATTTCTAGATTTGATTTGCTCAAGAGTCTTCCAAATCTCCTCAGGTCAAAAATAATTGTCTCAAAATGTCATGCAACTTGGTGAGCTACCTACATAAACCTTTAACTCCTGTGAAGGCATGCCTAATAAGTTAAACCATTAATTGCCAGATAATATTCTGTTTGGTTGATAGCAAAATGTAGGAGAAAGAGCACAAGTCTGGCATTAGAACCACCTGGGTTTGAATTTCAGCTGCACTAATAAACAAGCCATCAGCCCAGCACAAGTTTCCCTCCTCCCTGGAAATGCGGATAATACCCTTTACCTTGCCATGTTCCTGTATAAAGCGCTTGACACAATACTTGTAAATAGGCAGTAAATGGCATGCTTCCCTCACAGCACAGATTATTACAGCTTACATCTCATTTCCCTTAAAAAGATTACTCGCTCATAAAGAAGGGACTGAGACTTGCTTTTCTTCATATCCCTCATATTCCCGACACCTAGCATAAGTAGACACCCACATTCTTCTTGAATATAAATGTGAGCATCTGGCTTCAAGTTCAGTTGTGTATCATCTAGAAATAATCACATTTCTGTTCTGGTCTCTCATTTTCACAAGGGATGTTTGAAGATTTTCAGGGATTATCTAAGATCAACTATTATTTAAAAAAAAAAAAAATGCCCTCCTCAAGTCCCAGACAGTCGTGTTGAAGCTCTAGGTCCAATCTATTTGACAAACAGGTTGGCATTGACATTTATTATATTTTTAATGTTGAGCCAACTTTAAGCTCAACTTCTCTCCTAAATTAATGGTGTTCCAAGACATGGCTAAAGCAAGAGGAACAAGAAGTGGTTGATGGGGAAAGCCAACACCTGATATGTCCCATTTCTGACCTGTACCTCAGCAAGCTAAAGGAAAATGTTGTTGGTCTCCAGTGTCTACCCTGAGCAATAAAATTAAGAGGTTCACTCCCACACTGCCTTAACTAGGCTGAGGTAATTGTTATTGTTATGGCTTTAGCAGGTTGAATGGGAGAAGATGAGAATTCTGAAAGAGACTTATTTACTGCAAAGCATCCCAAATATCTCATTAATCTGCTTTTCATTTGGCAAACTTTTATTTCATTAAAAGTGCCATGCTGTGTGGTTTAAAACAAAGCAAAAATGCCTCTGGGAAGACAAAGCAGCAAAGTGGAAAGAGCTTGGGATCTGAAATGATTTTGATATGAGTTTGATTTCCAGGTGCGCTACTTACTTGCTCTGTGACCACAGGCAGTTTTCCATAGTTAGTTAGAACCCCAATTTCCTCATCTACAAACATAGGACAACTGTTATGTTGTTTGTGAATACTGAGGCCAGCTCTAGGACCTTGGGCTCTCTTTTGTTTATCTGTTTATTTCTTCATTTGCAAAATGAAGATCATAATAGTACCAACTCCATAGAGTTTGTGATGAGGATTTAGACAGGTAATATATGTAAACTGATTAGAACAGTGTCTAGCACAGAATATGTGCAGTGTGTTTGTCATCATCATCATCATCATCATCATCGCCATCACTACTAAGTGACACACGTAAAGTGTGCCTTGCACAATACCTGATACCTAGGAGGTGCTCTATAAATGTAAGAGAAAACATCTCCCCTCACAACTAGAAACTTTCCACTGGGGTCTGAAGAAACTCACTGGGTAGGAAGGCCTATTCCACAATTGTAGACTCTGCATTTTGGAGAAGGTGGGATCATGTAGATGAAGCCTGTTTACAAAAGAAAAGACCAAGGGAGGTAGAGAAGGGAGTTAACCCTGAAGAGGTGGCACAGTTAATAAAAAAGAGAAATTCCAGGCCTCCTGCACCCAGATTACTGCATTGTTCTGCCTTCTAAAAGTGTTATTTGGTTGAGTGATCCTCTTGTAGCTCATGAGCATGATGACTGGGTGTTCAAGCACGTGTGAGAGATGTGCCACCCTTGAACTTTGTTATGACATTGACACATTACCTGTCTGACCTGAAAACAAAATAAAAATAAAAGTAAAAGTATTACTTGGTTGAGAAACACCTTCCAACAAATAATTTGCAAACTGTCAGATGGCATCTGATCCTCTGCGATTTTCGTGAGCTTGAGGTAGCTTGAAGAGATGCCAGGAATATAAAGGGAGAGGGTGGCTCCTCAGCAATTTTCTTAGCAGTTCCAATTCAGAAAGGGGACATTCACCTCTCTCCAGACAGTAAAACAAGAACAGGGCCTCTAGATACTTGCCACCCACAAATGCAAATTCAGCAAGCTCTGCCTCCCTGGGTTAATTTTAAACACTGCTTTTTAATCCAAGTTTAGATTTGTTTTGTTGTATATGTACAACATCACTGAGTTTCAGAGTTCTTATTTCTTATCCCTAGGTAATGATATCCTTTTTTAGCTGATTTGATGTCACTCACCACTAGAAGGAAATAGAATGTCCCTCTTCTAATTGGAAATACATAACTGCTTCAGTGGGTTTTCCTTCATTCCTTCCCTTTTGTCAGTGAGATAGACCTGACCTAAGGAGTTTTGGCTTTCAAAGCAGCTTTCACAAACCAAGGATAAAAGAAATTCAATTAACCAAAGAATCAGAAGTCAAGAATACAAGAAAGAGAACAGAAAATAGAAGGGGAAAAAAGTCAGCCCTGGGTTGAGCACAAAATACTGACATTTTTGGACGCCCAAGCTTGAGTCTAGGTTCTATTTAGTGCTGGGATTCTGAGCCGCTCTGGCAAACTAATGGAACAAGTAAAGCTAAAGTCTGTTTTCATGAGGAGCCAAACGGAGGACCAGGTGATGGTCTTAACACAGCATTTAAGCTTTTTTCCAGCTTTGTCCATACCATACCTGCCCTCATGGCCTCAGATCTCAGTACTAAAAAGAGAGAAGGCTGTACATCTAAAAATAAATATATATATATATACTAAAAACCTTGCTTTGAGATCCGCGTGTATCCCCAAAGGGAGAAGAAGGCATTATCCCACTTCCACCCAGCTTACATCAAGAACTCCAAGAAAGAAATCAGAGGCATAGGCAAAAATGGTACCAGGAGAGGGTACTGACTGAGAGCAAAGGCTATCACCCCTCCGAAGGCAGCGCGCCTATCAACATGAGGCCAGAAGCAGGGCGGGGGGGAAATAACATCAGAAATTCACGGGTGGTTGATAGAACTAGCCAGCACAGACACACCACCCCTGGGGACTCCACTGGGGGTGGGTAGAAAGGACATAGAGGTTTGTAATAGCCAGAAGGATCAAAAGCCAAAAAATATGGGTTATTACCATTTATATGACCCCTTTTAAAACTCCAAGTTCATGCAGCCTGAGAAAATGAGCTTATATTCGTAATATCACCTCCTTTCCTTTTCCTACAATTTAAACTGCATACAGTGTTATAATGAGGATCCCTACTGAGCTGTGCTCATACAAACTAACTCTTCTGATGCAGGTGTTCTCTGTCAAAGATATACAATTTTTGATGCTTTGAATTTAATTAGCTGCTGCTCTTTATATATTAAAGTAATTCAAACTATTGTACCACCGGGTTATATGATTTCTGTTACTTTTCTTGTAAGTATGATGGGCTGGTACTGAATTATCCATTTTGTCATTCAGGTTCCCTTGAAACTAATCACATGTGTTTGAAAAAGAATAGGTCAGGGTTAGGGACCATCTATGACCATGAGAGCATTTCTCTATAAAGAAGCAATATAATATGGAGAATTAAGCAGCACTCGTTCAGAGGATAACAAAAAACTCATTGTTATCTAGAGCCTCAGTCTGGGCTTCAGTTTCTTCATTAGTGTAAACACATTTTTTGCAGATAATATGTCCTATGCTTCCCCTAGGAGTTCTTGAGAGTCAGAGGAGATCATCTGAAAGCTTTATTAACCTATAAGGGATCATGAAAAATAAGGAGCTGCTTAGTCCATTGGAGAAATAGAAACTTGTTTTCAGGTGAGTTAAGATACCTGCTTCCCTAACTGTTGGTATTAAAATTTAGTAATTTATAAAATTTAGCACTCCAGCTCACAATTCTCATGTAATTACATGAAATTCAGAGGGAAAGAAAATAAAGACCAATCCCCTCCCATCACAGTTTCTGGGCAATTTTAGCTCATATTAGGCATCTTTAAGCAATGCTGCATTCTAACATCCAATGCTAGGAGTTCTTTTGGAGAACAAAGAAAATATGTACCAATACAAAGCTGCTTTTGCCATTGTTATCTTAAATGCACATGGATGTCTTCTTAAGGAACTTTGCAAATCAATACGCCACCAACTTAGTGAAATCTGGCACCATACGGTAAATGTATGACTAAAGAGAAGCATCTTTCCCATGAAAAAACTAGTGGCTTTTAGTGGCCAGAATAAAAACAAAATTAAATTGGAGTCTGGGGATGGTGATAGCAGGAGAAATAGGTCATCCTTATAAACCCCATTCCTTTCAAAAGTTTGTGTTAATAGAAGCCCAATCTCCAAAATATGAGTTTCTATATTACCTAGGGGTAAATGATGTCAAAGTAATTTGAATATTTTTCAAATAACTTTCCTTAATACTTTATGCAACTGTGAAATCCCACAGGCCTGTAAATCTTAGCAAAGCCACTGTTTCCAGCTCAAAACCCTGCCTTTGGGTCTGCCTTTCTCGCTTCTTTTCTGGATGAGTAACATTTTCAATCAAGTCGTTTTTCTTGTTACTCTGGGAAACAGGCTCTTTCTGAATAAACATAATCCCCCATTTCAGGCTCACTGGTATTACCTTCTTCTCTTTCTCATATCAGCTGGAACATGAGGATTTACATCGTAGCAACTGTGTGGGTAGAGAAGAGATGCTGTAGGGTGGGACAATTCACTTCAGCAATCTTAAGAGTAGGGTCACCTCAGAAAAAAAATGCTTTACTTCTCTGAGTTGGATCCCTCAACTGCCAACTGCGGACAACAGTAACATTAGTAAGAATCAAATAGGACTTCACTCTATATGTTTCTAATAAGAACAGCCCCCACTGCCTGCCTTGTGACCCCACTGTGGTGTATACAGACTTCAATCACAACATTTTAGTCCACTTACTTGTTTATATTTCTGTCTCCCCTCACTCAACTGAAAGCCTTTGGAGAACAAGACCTTTCCCTTATTTATTTTAGGAATCCCCAAATCAAGCTTGTTGATATTCATTATGTAATGGTTTTAAAGGAATTTCGGTTAAAAGATTAATTTGCTAATTGACTAGTTGATTGGTTGAATGAATTCTGCAGATGAACGCACTTTGTAAACATCTGAGCACTAGACAAATGTAAAGCATTATTACATGGAATTCCGTAATTAGCTTTGAACTTAAGGTAATTAGATAGTTGCTCAAAGTCAAAATGTAATGAGCCTTATAAGTGGTCTTATTTCATAGCATTCTTAGTTTTTGTTTGCTTAATCCAGACAGTTGCCAAAAATTTACACACCCCAAAATAATACACTAAAAAAGCAGTTCATGCAATCAAAATAGTGGAAAGTATTTTGCTAGTTAAATTAGCATTGCCTCATAAAAACCCAATGATGGAATGACATATTTTAAATTCTTCCTTGGGTATAAAGTGGTGTCCTGGAGAGACCATTAATGCTAACACCAACACAACACAAAACACTCAGGGGACTGTCCTCAGATGCCCATTTTGTTTCTACAAATTGTCCTCTATATGAGAGTATTTAAATAAACCAATTAGGTTTGGGATTTTTCCCCCTATTTGATTCAATATCACAAATATTAGATGCCAACTTCATGTTGGCTAAGTACAACAGGACAAATAAGGATTTTAGGATGGGACGTAGCTTGCAAGAGGGAGTCTTGACAAGAACACAAATACCATAACCAAGGCAGAATGTAAATGCCATAAGACAAATACATAACTCTCTAGAGCTATGAATCTAGAGACAGAGAAGTAACAGGCCGCTGGGGAAGATCAGAAAAGGCATCATGGCAGAGGAGGTATCTGTAATAAAAGTTAAGCTTTGAGCAATATTGCAAGCCACACAGATAGGGAGGACAGTATGGTAGGGCTAGAGGAGTGGGTATTCCAGAAAGGCGGAAGACCAACTCCTCCAGCTATCTTTAGTCTGCATTTCCAGAAGTATCTACTTCATTGGTTCCTGGAATATCAGCTTGACTTTGCTAATAACTAGTCTGAGAGTACTCACATTTGATGAAAAATAACACTGATGTGATTACTGCCAACATTACTCCCTTTTAACAACAGCAGGAAATATTATTTTTCAAAAATGGAACAACTGCATTTTTATAATATCCCTGAGAAAGAATTAAAAATGTGAAATACATTCTAGGTGATTGTTTTTTATTATACTTTAAGTTTTAGGGTACATGAGCACAACGTGTAGGTTTGTTACATATGTATACATGTGCCGTGTTGGTGTGCTGCACCCATTAACTCGTCATTTAACATTAGGCATATCTCCTAATGCTATCAGCCCCCCTGCCCCCACCCCACAACAGGCCCCGGTGTGTGATGTTCCCCTTCCTGTGTCCATGTGTTCTAATTATTCAATTCCTATCTACGAGTGAGAACATGCGGTGTTTGGTTTTTTGTCCTTGTGATAATTTACTGAGAATGATGGTTTCCAGCTTCATCCATGTCCCTACAAAGGACATGAACTCATCATTTTTTATGGCTGCATAGTATTCCATGGTGTATATGTGCCACATTTTCTTTTTTTTTTTTTTTTTTTTTTTTTTTATTATACTCTAAGTTTTAGGGTACATGTGCACATTGTGCAGGTTAGTTACATATGTATACATGTGCCATGCTGGTGCGCTGCACCCACTAATGTGTCATCTAGCATTAGGTATATCTCCCAATGCTATCCCTCCCCCCTCCCCCGACCCCACCACAGTCCCCAGAGTGTGATATTCCCCTTCCTGTGTCCATGTGATCTCATTGTTCAATTCCCACCTATGAGTGAGAACATGCGGTGTTTGGTTTTTTGTTCTTGCGATAGTTTACTGAGAATGATGGTTTCCAATTTCATCCATGTCCCTACAAAGGATATGAACTCATCATTTTTTATGGCTGCATAGTATTCCATGGTGTATATGTGCCACATTTTCTTAATCCAGTCTATCATTGTTGGACATTTGGGTTGGCTCCAAGTCTTTGCTATTGTGAATAGTTCCACAATAAATATACATGTGCATGTGTCTTTATAGCAGCATGATTTATAATCCTTTGAGTATATACCCAGTAATGGGATGGCTGGGTCAAATGGCATTTCTAGTTCTAGATCCCTGAGGAATAGCCACACTGACTTCCACAATGGTTGAACTAGTTTACAGTCCCACCAACAGTGTAAAAGTGTTCCTATTTCTCCACATCCTCTCCAGCACCTGTTGTTTCCTGACTTTTTAATGATCGCCATTCTAACCGGTGTGAGATGGTATCTCATTGTGGTTTTGATTTGCATTTCTCTGATGGCCAGTGATGAGCATTTTTTCATGTGTCTTTTGGCTGCATAAATGTCTTCTTTTGAGAAGTGTCTGTTCATATCCTTTGCCCACTTTTTGATGGGGTTGTTTGTCTTTTTCCTGTAAATTTGGTTGAGTTCATTGTAGATTCTGGATATTAGCCGTTTATCAGATGAGTAGATTGCAAAAATTTTCTCCCATTTTGTAGGTTGCCTCTTCACTCTGATGGTAGTTTCTTTTGCTGTGCAGAAGCTCTTTAGTTTAATTAGATCCCATTTGTCAATTTTGGCTTTTGTTGCCATGGCTTTTGGTGTTTTAGACATGAAGTCCTTCCCATGCCTATGTCCTGAATGTATTGCCTAGGTTTTCTTCTAGGGTTTTTATGGTTTTAGGTCTAACATTTAAGTCTTTAATCCATCTTGAATTAATTTTTGTATAAGGTGTAAGGAAGGGATCCAGTTTCAGCTTTCTACATATGGCTAGCCAGTTTTCCCAGCACCATTTATTAAATAGGGAATCCTTCCCCATTGCTTGTTTTTGTCAGGTTTGTCAAAGTTCAGATAGTTGTAGATATGTGGCATTATTTCTGAGGGCTCTGTTCTGTTCCATTGGTCTATATCTCTGTTTTGGTACCAGTACCATGCTGTTTTGGTTACTGTAGGCTTGTAGTATAGTTTGAAGTCAGGTAGCGTGATGCCTCCAGCTTTGTTCTTTTGGCTTAGGATTGACTTGGCGATGTGGACTCTTTTTTGGTTCCATATGAACTTTAAAGTAGTTTTTTCCAATTCTGTGAAGAAAGTCATTTGTAGCTTGATGGGGATGGCATTGAATCTATAATCTACCTTGGGCAGTATGGCCATTTTCACAATATTGATTCTTCCTACCCATGAGCATGGAATATTCTTCCATTTGTTTGTATCCTCTTTTATTTCATTGAGCAATGGTTTGTAGTTCTCCTTGAAGAGGTCCTTCACGTCCCTTGTAAGTTGGATTCTTAGGTATTTTATTCTCTTTGAAGCAATTGTGAATGGGAGTTCACTCATGATTTGGCTCTCTGTTTGTCTGTTATTGGTGTATAAGAATGCTTGTCATTTTTGCACATTGATTTTGTATCCTGAGACTTTGCTGAAGTTGCCTATCAGCTTAAGGAGATTTTGGGCTGAGATGATGGGGTTTTCTAGATATACAATCATGTCATCTGCAAACAGGGACAATTTGACTTCCTCTTTTCCTAATTGAATACCCTTTATTTCCTTCTCCTGCCTGATTGCCCTGGCCAGAACTTCCAACCCTATGTTGAATAGGAGTGGTGAGAGAGGGCATCCCTGTCTTGTGCCAGTTTTCAAAGGGAATACTTCCAGTTTTTGTCCATTCAGTATGATACTGGCTGTGGGTTTGTCATAGATAGCGCTTATTATTTTGAGATATGTCCCACCAATACCTAATTTATTGAGAGTTTTTAGCATGAAGCGTTGTTGAATTTTGTCAAAGGCCTTTTCTGCAACTATTGAGATAATCGTGTTTTTTGTAGTTGGTTCTGTTTATATGCTGGATTACGTTTATTGATTTGCATACATTGAACCAGCCTTGCATCCGAGGGATGAAGCCCATTTGATCACGGTGGATAAGCTTTTCGATGTGCTGCTGGATTCGGTTTGCCTGTATTTTACTGAGGATTTTTGCATCAATGTTCATCAGGAATATTGGTCTAAAATTATCTTTTTTTGTTGTGTCTCTGCCCGGCTTTGGTATCAGGATGTTGCTGGCCTCATAAAATGAGTTAGGGAGGATTCCCTCTTTTTCTATTGCTTGGAATAGTTTCAGAAGGAATGGTACCATCTGCTCCTGTACCTATGGTAGAATTCGGCTGTGAATCCATCTGGTCCTGGACTTTTTTTGGTGGGTAAGCCATTAATTATTGCCTCAATTTCAGAGCCTGTTATTGGTCTATACAGAGATTCAAATTCTTCCTGGTTTAGTCTTGGGAGGGTGTATGTGTCAAGGAATTTATCCATTTCCTCTAGATTTTCTAGTTTATTTGCGGAGAGGCATTTATAGTATTCTCTGATGGTAGTTTGTATTTCTGTGGGATCAGTGGTGATATCTCCTTTATCACTTTTTATTGCATCTATTGGATTCTTCTCTCTTTTCTTCTTTATTCGTCTTGCTAGCAGTCTATCAATTTTGTTGATCTTTTCAAAAAACCAGCTCCTGGATTCGTTGATTTTTTGAAGGGTTTTTTGTGTCTCTATTTCCATCAGTTCTGCTCTGATCTTACTTATTTCTTACCTTCTGCTAGCTTTTGAATGTGTTTGCTCTTGCTTTTCAAGTTCTTTTAATTGTGATGTTAGGGTGTCAATTTTAGATCTTTCCTGCTTTCTCTTGTGGGCATTTAGTGCTATAAATTTCCCTCTACACACTGCTTTGAAGGTGTCCCAGAGATTCTGGTATGTTGTGTCTCTGTTCTCCTTGGTTTCAAAGAACATCTTTATTTCTGCCTTCATTTCGTTATGTACCCAGTAGTCATTCAGGAGCAGGTTGTTCAGTTTCCATGTAGTTGAGCGGTTTTGAGTGAGTTTCTTAATCCTGAGTTCTAGTTTGATTGCACTGTGGTCTGAGAGATAGTTTGTTATAATTTCTCTTCTTTTACATTTGCTGAGGAGAGCTTTACTTCCAACTATGTGGTCAGTTTTGGAATAGGTGTGGTGCTGAAAAGAATGTATATTCTGTTGATTTGGGATGGAGAGTTCCACAGATGTCTATTAAGTCCACTTGGTGCAGAGCTAAATTCAATTCCTGGATATCCTTGTTAACTTTCTGTTTCGTCGATCTGTCTAATGTTGACAGTGGGGTGTTAAAGTCTCCCATTATTATTGTGTGGGAGTCTAAGTCTCTTTCTAGGTCTCTAAGGACTTGCTTTATGAATCTGGGTGCTCCTGTATTGGGTGCATATATATTTAGGATAGTTAGCTCTTCTTGTTGAATTGATCCCTTTACCATTATGTAATGGCCTTCTTTGTCTCTTTTGATCTTTGTTGGTTTAAAGGCTGTTTTATCAGAGACTAGGATTGCAACCCCTGCCTTTTTTTGTTTTCCATTGGCTTGGTAGATCTTCCTCCATCCCTTTATTTTGAGCCTATGTGTGTCTCTGCACGTGAGATGGGTTTCCTGAATACAGCACACTGATGGGTCTTGACTCTTTATCCAATTTGCCAGTCTGTGTCTTTTAATTGGAGCATTTAGTCCATTTACATTTAAGGTTAATATTGTTATGTGTGAATTTGATCCTGTCATTATGATGTTAGCTGGTTATTTTGCTCATTAGTTGATGCAGTTTCTTCCTAGCCTCGATGGTCTTTACAATTTGGCATGTTTTTGCATTGGCTGCTACTGGTTGTTCCTTTCCATGTTTAGTGCTTCCTTCAGGAGCTCTTTTAGGGCAGTCCTGGTGGTGACAAAATCTCAGCATTTGCTCGTCTGTAAAGGATTTTTTTTCTCCTTCACTTATGAAGCTTAGTTTGGCTGGATATGAAATTCTGGGTTGAAAATTCTTTTCTTTAAGAATGTTGAATATTGTCCCCAACTGTCTTCTGGCTTGTAGAGTTTCTGCCGAGAGATCAGCTGTTAGTCTGATGGGCTTCCCTTTGTGGGTAACCCAACCTTTCTCTCTGGCTGCCCTTAACATTTTTTCCTTCATTTCAACTTTGGTGAATCTGACAATTATGTGTCTTGGAGTTGCTCTTCTCGAGGAGTATCTTTGTGGTGTTCTCTGTATTTCCTGAATCTGAATGTTGGCCTGCCTTTCTAGATTGGGGAAGTTCTCCTGGAAAATATCCCAAAAAGTGTTTTCCAACTTGGTTCCATTCTCCCCATCACTTTCAGGTACACCAATCAGACGTAGATTTGGTCTTTTCACATAGTCCCATATTTCTTGGAGGCTTTGTTCGTTTCTTTTTATTCTTTTTTCTCTAAACTTCTCTTATTGCTTTATTTCATTCATTTGATCTTCCATCACTGATACCCTTTCTTCCAGTTGATTGAATCGGCTACTGAGGCTTGTGCATTCATCACGTAGTTCTCGTGCCATGGTTTTCAGCTCCATCAGGTCCTTTGAGGACTTCTCTGCATTGGTTATTCTAGTTAGCCATTCGTCTAATTTTTTTTCAAGGTTTTTAACTTCTTTGCCATGGGTTGAAACTTCCTCCTTTAGCTCAGAATAGTTTGATCATCTGAAGCCTTCTTCTCTCAACTCATCAAAGTCTTTCTCCATCCAGCTTTGTTCCATTGCTGGTGAGGAGCTGCATTCCTTTGGAGGAGGAGAGGCACTCTGATTTTTAGAGTTTCCAGTTTTTCTGCTCTGTTTTTTTCCCCATCTTTGTGGTTTTACCTACCTTTGGTCTTTGATGATGGTGATGTACAGATGGGATTTTGGGGTGGATGTCCTTTCTGTTTGTTAGTTTTCTTTCTAATAGTCAGGACCCTCAGCTGCAGGTCTGTTGGAGTTTGCTGGAGGTCCACTCCAGACCCTGTTTGCCTGGGTATCAGCAGTGGAGGCTGCAGAACAGCGGATATTGGTGAACAGCAAATGTTGCTGCCTGATCGTTCCTCTGGAAGTTTTGTCTCAGAGGAGTACCCGGCTGTGTGAGGTGTCAGTCTGCCCCTACTGGGGTGTACCTCCCAGTTAGGCTACTCGGGGGTCTGGGACCCACTTGAGGAGGCAATCTCTCCATTCTCAGATCTCCAGCTGCATGCTGGGAGAATCACTACTCTCTTCAAAGCTGTCAGACAGGGACATTTAAGTCTGCAGAGGTTTCTGCTGCCTTTTGTTTGGCTATGCCCTGCCCCCAGAGGTGGAGTCTACAGAGGCAGGCAGGCCTCCTTGAGCTGCGGTGGGCTCCACCCAGTTCGAGCTTCCCGGCTACGTTGTTTACCTACTCAAGCCTCAGCAATGGTGGGCACCCCTCCCCCAGCCTCGCTGCCACCTTGCAGTTTGATCTCAGACTGCTGTGCTAGCAATCAGCAAGACTCCGTGGGCATAGGACCCTCCGAGCCATGCTCAGGATATAATCTTCTGGTGTGCCGTTTGCTAAGACCATTGGAAAAGTGCAGTATTAGGGTGGGAGTGACCCAATTTTCCAGATGCCATCTGTCACTCCTTTCTTTGACTAGGAAAGGGAATTCCCTGACACCTTGCACTTCCCGAGTGAGGCGATGCTTCGCCCTGCTTCGGCTCACGCTCGATGCACTGCACCCACTGTCCTGCACCCACTTTCCGACACTCCCCAGTGAGATGAATCTGGTACCTCAGTTGGAAATGCAGAAATCACTCATCTTCTGCGTCACTCACGCTGGGAGCTGTAGACTGGAGCTGTTCCTATTCAGCCATCTTGGCTCCCGGTGATTTTTAATAATTGTATTTTCTTCCATTTTTATTAGAATTCAGAACATATACTTCTTGGTCTTTTCCAAAAATGATCTGTGCCTAACGTTAAAGGACAGCAGAGTCTGCCTCCCCAAAATATACCACTTTGATGTAGGGATTATTTTGAGTGGAAAGCAATTGAGAAGAAACAGATACAAAAACAAAATATCTGCCCTCTTCCTAATTGCCTAAAAGCAAGGCATTAAGGAAACAAAGGTGTCCCTTCCTCCGCATTTCTACCAGGTATAACAAAGTTTGATCACCAGAGGTGATCTTTATCAGCCTAGAGATGGCACCAAAGGAATCCATGTTAAAAAATTTACTGACAAGGGGCTAGGCATGGTGGCTCATGCCTGTAATCCCAGCACTTTGGGAGGCCAAAGTGAGCAGATCACCTGGGGTTGGCAGTTCGAGACCAGCCTGACCAACATGGAGAAACCCCATCTCTTTTAAAAATACAAAATTAGTCTGGTGTGGTGGTGGGTGCCTGTAATCCCAGCTACTTGGGAGGCTGAGGCAGGAGAATCCCTTGAACCGGGGAGGTGGAGGTTGCAGTGAGCCAAGATTGCGCCATTGAACTCTAGCCTGGGCAGCAAGACCAAAACTCCATCTCAAAAACAAACAAAAAAAATTACTGACTAGCCTCTATCTACCATCAGTTTCCCACATATTTCCCACCTCACAATTTTCTGCCCCTAGAGAGTCAAGGTCCTTCTGCTTTATGTTGCCAGTTCTCTAAAAATGTTTTGTTCTTTGTTGAAGACACCGCATAAGCCACCATTCTAAGCTACCTCTTTAAGAGTTAGTCTTTCCCTGAGTTTTCTCTCAGGTATATATGAAATATACATGTTAGTAAACCTCTGTTTGTTTTTCTCTTGTATTAAAAGAAAAACTTTAGACAAATTAAATTTAACAGAGTTTAAGTGAGCAAGAAAAAATACAAAAACGACTTGTGAATCAGGCGGCCACTGGGGCTGCCACATGGTGGGATAAGATTTATGAAGAGAAAAAGGAAAGTGACATGCAGAAAACAGAAGTGAGGTTCAGAAACAGCTGGATTGGTTGCAGCTTGGTGTTTGCCTTATTTGAACACCATTTAAATCACTGACTGACTGTGAGTGGCTGAAGTATGACTGTCATGATTGGCTGAAAGTCAGCTACTATTACAGACACATTCTCCTAAGTGAGGTTTTCAGTTTGTATATGTGCTAGGTTAGGTTGTGATTCATACATAAGAACTCAAGTATGCAAATATGGAGGCTTTCTCAAGCCAGACTTTGGTTTGATTTAACAATTTCCCTCCTTTTGGTCAGCCTCTCAACTTTAGATATTAACCAAAACTTCGGACATTGGTGCCACTCTCTGTCACCATCATAAATAACTTATTTGGTCTCAGTATGAAATTCACACATCTTCTTTGGTCTCATTGTGGAATTCACACGTCACAGTGTCACACCAGTTGAATAATTCTTTATGTTCTTGCTGATCTAGTCAAAGTAAAATCATAAGACCATTCAATACTCAATGGATGGCTAAATACAAAACATTTAAGACTTGAGAGGATACAGTGTTACCAGGGGGACTATTAAAATTACTATCAAGAGTGTAATATCAAAAAACCAAAGTGTACTTCTTAAACAGATTTCTTATGAAATTAACCAAGTCAAATCAAACAAGTCAAAGTTCAGCAATATAGGCAGTTCAACAGTATTTGAGTCTAATTGGTCATAGTCTTTGTTCAGGGTGCCATGGTAATTAAGGACCATCATTCACTGTAAAATGTTCTGATTTAAAGAGGTACCCATTTTTGTTGTTATCCTGGTCACACAAGTTATAATAACCTGGAGACCTACCAGAAGAAATATAAAGATAAGAAAACTTTGGAAAACACCAGGTTGCTATCCACCATTTAGGATATCTGCAAACCAACTGTTAGTTGTTCCCACGAACACATTCTATGTTCCTTTCTCTTGAAAGATTTCCTTAATTTATTTGGTGGCAGTGTCTAAGGAAAGAATAGTATCTACCAGATTTTTAATTAAGCCTTCTGTAGTAATAAAATTAGGGGAAAGATAGGTCCAACATTCGGTTTTGTTCAATAGCAAACATAAGGCCTCAACTTGAGCTAAAAGGAAACATAAAGCTGCATGATGTGTTTTTGTTGAACACTTATGGTATCATTTACCTTTCAGAGAGTGGCTCCTACGCACCTCAAACCGTGGGAAGTCTGATTGGCTATAAACTTCAAGATTTCTCTCAATTTATGAATTAGCTTTAAATTCCATACAACTAGTACCCACTACCACCAAGAGTGAGTCCCCAGGAACCACGATGGAATGTCTCCTCAGTAGAATCTAATTTATCTTTCATCTATTTCAAGATTGGTGCTAATTTCAGTTATTGACTGCTTTGGTTTCTGATCATAGGAGCTATTACAGGAACTCTCACGAGAAGCTATTTAAAAGGCAGGAGTGAGCCAGACCAAATAGCAAGATCCAAACCAGCAAGGAGGTAGAATGAAATTCTGTGCAGACCAAATATAGTCCCTAAGGGATTGGAAAAGAGGGCCATCTAGTTGTATTTGAGCAAGGGTTAGTTAAATTTTTCACCCTTGTTCTGCCTAGCTCCTGAACAAAGTCCAGTGGAAAATTTACTTTTTTGTGGCCCTTTCATAAAACGTTGTAAGGATGTATAACCATATTTAGTTACAAAAAAAAAAAAAAAACAGGGGGATGGGGCAGGGGGACCTACTGGATTTAATCTAGTGACTTTCTATGAGCGATTACTTGTACCCACACGGATAATTCCCAGGCCTTGAGTGTGTGATGCCAGGAAGCACAAAATACATTTTGCAGACATTACTTGGATAGGTTTCCTATATTTGGTAATGATCAGGTTATTAAATATAAAAGATAGAATGTTGTTTCTAGTGAGTACTGGAAAGCAAGTAGCAGTGATATTTAGAACACCAAAGATAGCTTTCCACTCTTCTTCTGGCATCTCACAGTGATTGTCATTGAGAATGCAGAGAGGCATTGGCATCAGTGGGACTGTTTCCTGATTTTTTGGCATTAGCCCACAAACCCAGCAATTGTTCTAGTTTTATGCTAGAATACAAGCTTGAGCTACAGCCATCCACTGATTATGGCCTCATGAATCTTCCTGTAGGAAAAAAGCATCAGGGCAGCAGAAAATGAGGGAAAAAGACAAAAGCATAACGTTTTCATGATGGTACAGAAGTCTTGATCTGTGAATTTGAGAAAGCTGTTAACATTTAAGATGCCATTTACTTCTAGGGAGAAATTTCCATGGTCAGCTTTACCTTAAAGTCCCAACAGGAGTACTGTTCCAAGAATCTGAAAGGGCTCTTTTGAATTGCAACGTGGACCTAGGATTTAAGGCCTTCATTGCAGTGTCAGTGGTGAGAAAAACTTGATATGGTCCCTTCCAATAGGGGTCAGGGGCAGTCTTACTCTGATGTTATTTCCAAAACACCCAATCTCCAAGTTCTAGACCACGAAGTATTTGATTGACCTCAGATGGTGGATCATGTAAAGCTTTTTTTACCTGGTGAAAATACACTTTGGCATAATGCTTAAAGCCTTGCAGCATTTAATCATATCAGAGTTTAAGAGAGCAAGGAATGTGTGAGCTTTTATTATTAGGGACATAGGTTTTCCAGTGACTGTTTCCTAAGAGCTCAACTTACGATTTCTAGTCAGAGTGAATCTGATTACCATTAAAGCCAACAGCAGTGTCTTAGGCCAAGAAAATGCAATTGACTTAGTTAGCATTGCCAATTTCAGTTCTAATATGCCATTTGTTCTTTCAACCTTTCCAGAAGACTGAGGATGATAGAAACAATGATAATGCCATTATGTTCACAATACATTCTTTAATTGCTTTATAAATTGCCCAGTAAAATGAGTTCCCCTACTGCTAGAGATTTCTCTAGGAATGCCCCTTAAGGAAACACATTTTCCAATAATTTCTTAGTTACTGTTACAGCACCAGCTTTCCTACATAGGAAAGCCTCTACCAACCAGGAAACACACAGACTATTACAAGAACATACTAATACCCCACTGAGAGTGGCAACTGAATAAAATCCATCTTTAAGTGTTCAAATAGCCCATCTTATGGTAGGAATATGCTACCTGAAGTTTTGATTGTTTTCCCAGGATTATAAGTTTGACAAACCAAAATATTGGTTATGAACCATTTTAGAAATGTTAGCACAGTAACCCCAACAATATTTTTTCATAACTTGTATCACTTTGTCTTTTCCATGTTGAGTTGTGAAGTGCATAGCTTTTAACAATAGAAGCTTCAAAGACTCAGGAAGGACCAGGTGGCCATCTGGGCCCTCTGTGAGTCCATGCTTAACAATGAATTTGGATCCTTTTTTAACAATGAATTTGTGTCCTTTCAGAGATCACTTTTGTTTCTCCAAATCAAGTGCATTATACTGTTTTCTAAATAGGTCATCATAAGGAAGTTGACTTGGATCGATCTTAGGAGGTTCATTCAGAAAGCATACCCTAACCGTTCCAGCACTAAACGATTGAGCATAAAAACCTACTAGAGAATTCTGTTTTATGTTCAGGTTCAGTTTTATATGCATGAGAGTCAATCTTAATAATGACAATCTGTGATGGTAACAGGATAGTGGAAAGGAGTTCATCCGCATGGAGTCTATTTTTGATGAAGTTCCCACTAGAAATGAGAAACCTTTGGTGTTTCTATAACATACCAAAATTGTGTGCTATGCCAAAGGTATATCAGCCATCTGCATAAATATTTACTGACTTGCCCTCAGCTATATGACAAGCTCAGGTGGGGGCAAAAAGCTCCATGTCCTGAGCTGACTTAAATTGAGGAAGAGCTCCCTTCTCTCTCAACTTATTTTGGGTGGCAATGGCATACCCTGCCCAATATTTTCCTTCTGAATTTTTGGCACAGGGCTCATTGACAAAAACTTATGATTATCCAATGGTGTATCTCATAAATCAACACAAGAGGCAACTATTTCTGATATTATCCTTACAAAATTATAGGCTTCACCATCATCAGACAGGAGTAATGGAATAGCAGAGTTAAGTATGTTGCAGAATTTTAAATAGAGATTAGAAGGAGATTAATTTAACAAGATGTTGGTCTACTTTCTGAAAAATACTGAGTTTGGTTGGCATGTAAAGGACTTCCCACAGTATGTGGGACTTGCAAATTAAGTTTATTCCCTAAAATCAGCTCAGATGAAGCTTCTATCAACTTGGCTGCAGCTGCTTTTAAACAATTAGCATGTACCTTCACTACTAGGTCTAATTGAGGGCTATAATATGCAATGGGCCTATGTTTTCCTCTACGTTCTTGGATAAGAGCTCCTAATTCCTGATTGTTACATTCATGGACAAACAAGGTAAAAGGTTTAGTGTAATTTGGAAGTCCCAAAGCTGGAGGCTGTCGTAAGGCAAAATTCATTTGGTTAAAAGCCTGCTCATGACTGTCTTCCCAAGGTAAAGGCTCTGGTACTGTGTTTCTATCAAGCTCTTACAATGGTGAGGCCATTCAGAAAAAATGCAAGACACAGAATTGGCAATATCCTGCAAGTCCAAGAAAACTTCTTAATTGTCTTCTGGTTACAAGCTGAGGAAAACTTTAAATAGTTTTATTCTTTCAGGCAAGAGGGAAATCCCTTTAGCCGTCAAGTCATAATGGACTTGCTCTTTTGAAAACTGAAGTTTTTTCATCGAAGCCTTGTGACCCTTATATGTGAGTTGCTGTAAAAGGTAAATTTAGTCCATTTTATAGCACTCTTAATGGGAGAGCCTAAGAACAGATCATCTATATACTAAGTAACAGCAGAATTTTGAAGAAACTATAGGGGTATTAAGTCCTGATGCAATATTGGGGAAAAATACAAAGGGCCTTCAGTAAACCCTTGTGACATTACAGTCAAGGTGTACTGCTGGTTTTTCTAAGTAAAAGCAAACAAGTATTGACTCTATTTATGGATTGAAGTGCTAAGGAAGGCTGAGCAGAGGTCTCTGACCTTCCTGTACCTGATGTTCCGCTAGGCCTTAAAAGGTTTCTATTATCATTTTTTTGAATAAGCTTTCTACTTCTTCCTTTTTCACAACTTTCTTGAATTCCAGTGACTCTTAGATTTGTTTTCATTTTGTTTTGTTTGAGGTTATTCTCTATATCTTGTAAGTATTCTTAATTCCTTTCATTATTTTTCTTTTTTCTCCTCTGTGTATTTTCAAATAGCCTGTCTTTGAGGTTACTGATTCTTCATTCTGCTTGATTCATTCTGTTTTTGAGAATCTCTAATGTATTTTACAGTTTAGCAAATGTATTTCTTGGTTCCAGGATTTCTGTTTGATTTTTTATTATTATTTTGATCTCTTTCTTAAATTTCTTTGATAAATTTCTGAATTGCTTTTCTGTGTTATCTTGGAGTTCCCTGAGTTTCCTTAGAATTGCTATTTTGAATTATTGATCTGAGAGCTCACACATCACCATCTCATTAGGAACAGTCACTGGCTCCTTGCTTTGTCTGTTTGGGAGGTCATTGTTCCTTGTTTGCTGTTGTTTCTTGTGGACATACAGCTATAGCGTCACATTGCAGGATTAGTTATTTTTTTCCAGTTTTCACTGTACAGTTTGTTTTGCTCTTAGAGGGTATATTTACTTAGGGTATGTTTATTAGAGTATGTTTACTTAGAGGTTCTTTGCAGTTTCCTATTGAGTCTCCTTAATCCTAGACCACTGCTTCCTTTATGGGACTACATGGCACCTTAAGCTTAGGTTTGCCTCAGCTCTCCCAAATGTTCAGAGCACTGCCTGTCCCATATGGGAAGGGGGTCCCAAATGGGATACACCTGTTCTATGTAAGAAGGTGGCTGGAGGTTGTGTCCAGAAGACCTATGGAAGGTGCCTCCTACAGCATGGTGCTGCAGAACAGCTACTCTGATTGGAAATCTCCTTTGGCTGAGATAAAGAGCAGAATTCACAGGCTGGGATTGCTAGACTCACCTCCCTATTTTGTCTCTAGCTGCTCTTTGGGATTTTTCTCCCTACAGGCACTTGCAATGCTTCCTATGGGTGGAGGCAGGAACAGTTTTCTTGTAAGCGTACCCAAGATGGTGCAGAAGCTGGCTGTCTGCCTCAATCTCACTTTTTCCAGAGTAGAAACCATAAGTCTGAGAAGAATTTTCCATGTGTAATCCCTGGCAGATTGGGAGAGGGGCGTCACGGAGAGAGACGTCACTTTCTCTTACTCTCTGCTCGGAGTTTTGCACTTCTTTGTGGCCCTGGGGATCATCTCAGCCTCATATTTGAGTTCTAGGATATTGCTGGTGATAATCTGGATGCTGGATATTTAGTTTTTTGATGGGAAGAGTGGAGCCAGAATGCTTCTACTCCATTACTTTTGTGACATTACTCCTCCTGAGTAGAGGTCTACTACAGTGAACCACTTCAAATAAGCAGGAACATTAGATAATAAAGTATTGGGATTTGCAATTACAGGAAACCTTGGTATTATAATTGTATTAATTAACTGTAAATCTTGAACAAATCTCCAGCCTCATTCATTTGGCTTTTTTTTTTTTTTTTAATGGAGTTTCACTCATGTTGCCCAGGCTGGAGTGGAATAGCATGATCTCAGCTCACTGCAACCTCCGCCTCCCAGGTTCAAGCAATTCTCCTGCCTCAGCCTCCCAAGTAGCTGGGATTACAGGCATGCACCACCATGCCTGGCTATCTTTTTGTATTTTTAGTAGAGACGGGGTTTCACTGTGGCCAGGCTGGTCTTGAACTCCTGACCTCAGGTGATCCACCTGCCTCAGCCTCCCAGAGTGCTGGGATTATAGGCATAAGCCACCACACCCGGCCTCATTTGGCTTTTTAACTGGTAAAATTGGAGCATTACAAGAACTGGTACACAGAATTATGTCTTTTTAAAAGTAAATCTTTTACAGTTGGTGATGGCCCCTGAATTGCTTCAAGTTTTAGTGGATATTACAGTAATTTAGGCAAAGGTTTAGAATGATCTACTTGAATTTGTATAGGTTCCGTACTTTTAATCCTTCCTATATCAGTTGAGGAAGGGGCCCATAACATTCAGGTGTTTTAGAAAGGTTAGGTATATAACAGACCTGAGTTTCAATCTTATCAATTTCTGCCTGTAGAGAGCATAACTCTCCTGGTTCAGGAGAATCTGGAAACTCTGTCTCCCTCTGAGTAGAATCATATATGTTCTTTTAGTTTTGAAAGTGAGGCTCACCCTAGCAAGTTTATTGGAGTAGTATCATATGGTGAAAAGGTATAATTTTCTGAAAATGGCCCAAAAGTAAGGTGAATGAGTTGATATATGACAATCTCATGAATTGATTTGAAACCCCCACCAGAGAAATGACTTTTTTGCGTCAAGGGATCTGATGGCTTAATAAAGTGGAGTTTATGGTTCATAAGGTGGCTACAGTATCCACCAGGATGTACAAGATTCCTTATTTATTTTAACTTGTTTCTCCATGTTTATGTAAGGGTATTATGTCAGGGGCAATTTAACAGAGAATCCTTGGAGCCTAATAAATATTGATTATCATCATTAATGTTAAAATCTCTTGGGCTCATTCTAGGGGTAAAATGATCTAGCCTAAAGAAAGGAGGCTTATTGCAGACTAATATAAAACCAAGAAACCTCTTTCCACATGTCCTTGTTGTTTGCAATGAAGGCAAACATCTCAGGATAAAGAATTTCTTGTTCTAGGACCTGTTTGTTGTGATTTAAAATAAAAATGAGAAGGTCCCTTTAGCCTCAGCCCCTGTAACTGTTGTAATTGACGAGTCATAATTGTTAGCATTTTGGATATTTTTTTTTTTTGCTCCAGAGTCCTCTCAAAATGTTCAGCTGAGGCCACCAGTTCATACCTGTAACTCTCCATCCAGGTTTGTGTTTCTTAATTAAACAGGTAAGTTCAGGATGAAGTCCATTTACAAATAGAGGAATTAATATCATTTCAGTCCCTGCAGGAAATACTTCTTGCTGTATTTGGAGTCCAGAATATTTTACAAACCGCATTTCTAAGTAAGTTCTGTAATCAGAAAATGATTCATCCTTTTTTTTGTCTGCAAGACTGTATGATGAACCAATCAACCTTTGTTGGGAAAATCTTAGGAATTAAATATAAATGGTTTTCAGCAATTTTTCTAGCTCCTTTTGGCCTTTCTCATGAGGAAGTTTTGGAGAAGTCTAATACATGCCTCAGATTTGTCTCATCCCACTCCTGCCATCCATTTTTAAGCTTCACCAAACGTCAATATTGTATGAATATATTAGTAAAGGTCAGGGAGTCATGGATTATAGACTCCTATGAGGATTCTAAATTCTTCAGTAAATGATTGAGGATTTTTCCCTTGGGTTAGGGAAGTCCTTTACAATGTCTCTAAGATGAGTTTTAGACCATGAAGTAAAAATGGTTACAGCAGGAAAAACCTGGCTGATCAGAAGGTTTTACTAACTCCTCTTTTTTCATCACCTTCAGGATGAAAGGATAATGTTGCAAAAAGGTTAGCAGATTCAGAGTATTGAGGTAGAGATGGATAAAGGGAAGGAACAGCTGAAGTTAGTTCAGTAGACAACAGTCCTCTTTTATCATGTCCTTAAGCTGTTGCTTAAGCTTTTCATTTGCTTTTGCAAAGAATCTTTGAAGGAAGCAATTTTGATTTGTTTAGCCTGTTAGATGCTTCTGTATCCCATTGTTTTGTGTGGGTTTTTGATCTCCTTCTTTCTAATATGCCTCACAATAAACAATTTTATCCAACTTGAAATGTTACTGGTGTCATCACAATTCTAAGTTGTCTCTTGTAAAATTAACTCATTTTTCTGAAAATGCACACATTCTGGGCCCATAAGTTTTGTAGAAAACATTAGCTGCAGTACCAGAAGGTAGAGTCTTAGACTCCCTGGATTGAGATAAACCCATTATCCAAAAGGTATCTACCCAAACCCTTAGGCCTCTCACAGAATCCAATCTTGTTAAATATTTAATTCAATTAAATCCTGCACCCAGTCCAGTCTAAATATTGTTCAAATAAATTCAGAGAGTTCAAATCACAAAATAGTGGAGCTCAGAATTCAAAAGAAAATTCACTCATGATCTCCAGTTACAAACAAGAGAATAGTGAACACAGCTGGCTTCATGGGTACTTTGCCTGGTTGCCTAGTGTTCCTAGGGGTCACTGGTGTTTTACTTCAAATCCTCACTTCTGACATCAAATCTGTTAAAAGAAGGGCTTTAAACAAATTAAATTTAACAGAGTTTAATTGAGCAAGAAAAAAGACAAAATGATTTGCAAATTGGGTAGCCCTCAGAATCAGAAGAGATTCAAAGAGACTCGGGCTGCAACATGGTGTGATAAGATTTATGGACAGAAAAAGAAAAGTGACATACTTAAAACAAGAGTGAGGTACAAAAACAGCTGGATTGGTTACAGTTTGGTGGTTGCCTTATTTGAAACAGTTTGAACAGTTGGCCACCTTTGAGTAGTTAAGGTATGGCTGCTGTGATTGGCTGAGACTCAACTGTTGTTACAGAAGCATTCTCTTAAGATAGATTTTCAGCAGAATTCATATAAGAGTATGGAGGCTTTCTAAGGCCAGATTTTAATTTGATTTAACACTGGTTAATGTGTCTTCTTGTTATAGGGGTCCCAGTCAAGAATTAAGAAGGATGGAAAGGAAAATTATTTTTTCCACTTCTATATTGAAAAAACTCATTTAATATTTATAGCATTACATCTTGCCAACTTCTTTGTTATTCCATCCTTGCCAAATTCTGATGTCTAGCGTTAGAATTAACTTCCTCAGAATATTTTTAAGAGCTGGAAAATGAAAATGTTTAACTGTATTATATTTCTTAACTTCCTCAAACTCCAGAGCAATCTCTTCAATCTGTGATAGAAATAAAGAATTGGTTTAATAGAATGTCTCCCAAACTGGCATTTGCAGGATATTAATAGGTGTTTCATTAGGAAATGGGAAATGTAAATTGACCAAAGTTAATAAGCAAGTTTTCATTTTATCTATAAGACTTCTCAGTCTCTTTAATATGTTCTCATAAGTTGTGACTCTCCAGAGAAAGGACATATGTCTCCATACTTATTTTACAATGAAACATTTCTTAGCTACACCTATTAATTCCCAGAATGTTGTTTCAGGAAATACCATTCTGAGAAACACTTAGCTAATGAATTACTCCAGCTTAAAGATAGTTCCACAAGTCAGCTTTAGGAGTTTAGTTGAGCCTATGGAAATTTTTTCTTCATCCAACAAAGAGCATACTTAGCCAAAAAACAAATAGCAATTTAAAAAAAGAATTATATGTATCATGTAGCAAACATCACTATAGGTAATTCTTTCAAGATGCCAAAAAAGAATATTTAATCACTACTTTCAAAGAAAGACAGCCACTTTATACGGGTTTCTTCACTTGTTGAATACTTACCATTGGAATATCTACTCTAACAACTTAAAAAAGTGTTCACTCAAAATTTACTCTCCAAGTGAAAAATTACTTCAATGAATCTGCATATGCATGCCAGAAAAAACATTTTAGTGTCTCGAAAAAGCCTTAGTGAAAAGTGAAAAGCCTTAGTCTCAACTGTTCTCCAGACAGGTTTGCGATTTACGCATTTTTTGATTAAAAGTTTTGTGCATTATCACTTTCACCTCCCCTACATCACTAAAAGAAAAAGTTTATTGAAAGAATAGAAAAGTATAAAGGTCTTTGAATAAAGCAGGTAAGTCTAAGAGATGTGGGAAAGCCCATATATTAGAAGAAAGAGGTGAATAATGAGGCACGTGAAGAATAAACATGTAAAAGACATATGCTTGGCATGCATTTGTTTTCATCTGCCAAATCTATGATTTTTTGTAAGCATGAAAAATTTTAAAAGACATTTGCAATTGTGGTTGGTCCCAGAAAGCTTTACTGTTTTTCATATGTACACAGAATGATTTTGTCATTGTTCGTGTGTTTTGGGGTGAGCTAGAAATACTTTATAATTTCCCCCATTTAAAATAATGAGATATAGGCTACCACTATTCAAAAATTGTATATCCAAAATATTTGCTTAGATTTGGATAAAGATGCCTGAATATGTATTTCAACTATTCATGGAATAAGCAGAACAATATATGCCAAAAGAAAGGGTTATACATTTTCCAAGTAGATGCCTGGGGAATCTGTGACCTTAGTCTCACAATCCTGACATTACTCAAAATATTTTGAACACCTTTTAAAAAATCACCTTTAGTTTCTGACATAGACTTTTAAATCTTCTAAGTGGTGAGAAATTTTCATCATCAATAGTTTGATTTTATTTGGAAAATAGACAAAGACATTCAGAGCCAGATCTGGCAAATAAGATAAATGATCTTTCCAAGAAATGGTATTTTGATCAACTGTAGTTTCCCTATAAAGTAAAGTCACCAAATTTCATGTAAGTCTTATAAACTGCTTTGAAATCAGTAGGACAGAAGGAATTCCAAAGTGTTTTAATTAATGGCAGCATCATAAGAAAAGATACATCTTTTTCCAAAATGAATGTGAACAATAAAACTTTTTTTTGTTATGAACATTTAAATTTGGATGTTCAAAACTGTTCTCATTACTTTTTTTTGCATTTTGTTCAAAAATAACTTGTCAATGTCAGTAATTTGTCAATGGCAACTTAAGGCATACTTCTAAACAACTGGCTACCTACCTATTTTCATCCAAATGGATTATTTTCTATTCCAGTATTATTTGGGAGGAGAGATGAGGACTTACTCTGTCTGTTCTGGCTCTCTTCTATTTAAACAGCAAAGAAAAACCCTATACACCATAGAATACTATGCAGCCATAAAAAAGAATGAGTTCATGTCCTTTGCAGGGACACGGATGAAGCTAGAAGCCATCGTTCTCAGCAAACTAACACAGGAACAGAAAAGCAAAAACCATATGTTCTCACTCATAAGTGGGAGTTGAACAATGAGAACCCATGTACACAGGGAGGGGAACATCACACACCAGGGCCTGTTGGAGGGGTGGCGGGGAAGGGGAGGGAGAGCATTAAGACAAATATCTAATGCAAACAGGGCTTAAAACCTACAAGACAGTTGACAGGTGCAGCAAACCACCATGGCACATGTATACCTATGTAAGAAACCTGCACATTCTGAACTTGTATCCCAGAACTAAAAGTAAAATTTTAAAAAAAGAAAGAAAAACCCAAGAATTGTTGAAGAGAAGACAGGGTTGGGGGAAAGGGAGGTGGCCAGCAGGTATTATTGAACTGTCATTTGATGTAGAGTTTGGTCAGATTCTTAAGACAAAGATTGTTCCGGAATCTCCCAATACCTCCCAAAGCAGACAAAACACTAATGTCTTTCAATCATAATATTTACCTCATTTGAATTCCAAGCAACCTTAAAGTTACAGTCTTTTTGACCCCAACAATATAGCAATGGCATTTAAGACACCTGGCTTCCAGTTTCAATCCTGCCCCTGTGGGTGAGTCCTTAAGCCCCTTGGGGTGGAAATTTTTAACTGTTTTGTTTACTATTAATCCTAAGCATTTAGAATGTGTACTTTGTAGGCGTACTTGTAAAAGAATGCTTAATCTCCCTTATCTGTTATTTGATAATAGTTTCCTTATCTGTTAAATGCAAATACTAGCTTAGACTAGAGATTCCAACCATACGGATGTGCTTAATGGTAAGCCTCATCTTTTTTTTCTCTCCTCCCCTTTCCAGAGGCAGAAATCCCTCCCCAAATTATACCAAAAGGCAGATGGTCAGCTGTCTCTTCATGCCTGGTTACCATCTATATTATCAACAAGCACATAAACTCAAGATTTTCCATAAATGAAAATAAAGCGGGTAGAAACTACCAATTGCCCACTGACTATTCTTTTCTTCTCTCTTAGTAACAGAATTCCATTTCATAGGGACCACAATATGTTCAGCTGAAACAACCCAACAAAAAATATTTTCCAGTCCCACTTGTGGATGCTGGAGTTATGCAACGCAGCTCTGGCTAAGAAATGAAAGCAGGAAGAATCTCTACAAGAAGAGCAGAATTAGCTGATAGTACCACTGTTTGCTGGAAACATGGGTACAGTGCTGAGATGCTGGAGGTGGGACAGCCATTTGCAACCTCAAGTAGACCACTAAGAAAGGGCCAAGAGAAGAACTGCCAGTGGGAACCTCCAGGAAGCAAACACTGAGTCAGAAGTAAGACTGGGAGAGCTTTATTGTGACTGTAGAGGCAAAAAGCAAGGTGGGAGTAGGGATGTGGAATAGGATTGGGTGAGAAAAGTCTTTAGATTACAATGCTGATTTGACGCTTTGACATGCTGGACCCCTATGACTTCAGCAGAAACCGCACCATGTTTAAGAGGCCCAAGAAGAGACCTAGAGCCAGTGAAGAATACATAGGGTTTGTTGAGGAAACTTACATACAGGGGTGGTCCAGTGGCAGTGGGCTGGAGAGGAGAACTGCAACCACTTATTAAAAGCATGCAATTTATACAGCATTTTCACTTAGCAACCTCCACTTGGAAATCTTCATTTAATCTAAAACAATGGGCCTTGGTCCCCTGTATTGCCTGCATTCCACAGGATGGGCTGAAGGCTCAGATGTCCCTCATAGACAAGGAATGAATCTCCAGGTTGGCCACACCCAGATTCTGTAGCTCCCAACTCTGAATATGCATTCTTCTTAGACCATATGGTCATTCTCAGGGTATGCTTAACTTGTTGCTGTCAGGTTCATCTGCCATACAGTGTCATTCTTGGGATACACTTATGTTATTGCTGTCAGGTTCATCTGCCATACACCTTTATGAAAAGAAAAGCGGAAGGAGACAATATTGAGCAGGAGGAGCCTTGAACAATGATGCACATCTAACAAAATTTCAGCAAGCCCAATAGCAACCTCCAGAGCAAAGGTTGCCCATTAGAGGAGGTCTGCATTGGGCAGAAATGGCCATGGCCATGCCCAAGTGTCCCCTGCATGCTCTGCCATTGCTTGGGAGCTACCTGAAAAAAAGTGTAGCCTTGGATCAAAAGCTGAGGCAGATTCTGAAGGCACTGAATTTGGGGGCTCTCAAGATGGCAAATTCTTCCTTGAAGGAAGATCCAAACAGCACACCTCCATAGCCAGGGCTACCACCACCATGAAGGTCTCAGCCCTGAGCTGACTTCCATCCTTGAGCTGAAATTACTGCCAGCAACCCCCATCTCTGGCTTCCTATTGTGCAAGAAAAAATAAACCCCTAATTTGTTTAGTTCTAGGTATTGGGGTTTCAGTTCTCTGTGCTTCTACGAATTATTGACCCAGATTCTTTCCACTGAGTCTCTAGTTAATAGTAAATTAGGTGTCTGGGGAGATGCATCCATCATTCCGGGCTATGAAGGCTCTATGCAGTGAATAATAGCATGTGAGTAATGCTGCAACTAGGCAAATATGAACACCAGTTTCCCAGGAGAACTTAGTTGTGACAGCAACTTAAGTAATTTCTTGCAAAAACAGAAATAACAGGCTGAATGAAGGTCGGCTTACAGGGGTTGATGAATTAGTATTAGTGCAAGAATTTTTGCTAGCTACTCCCATTAAAGATGTTACAGTTTTCTTACTCCTGGGTGTTTAAATGTGTTGTCAGTGATTGAAATTGCTAGAAATCTGACTTCCAGATAGCTTTAGGAGGCATACTTTAATTGCTCTGATCTTCATATTTTTTCTTTATAAAATGAGGAGGTTGGATTATGTACCACTGAAAGTATTTATAACAGGGAATTTAATGCACAGAATGAGTTACACAGGTTACAGAAAAGCTGAGAGCCAAATGGGATGATGCAGTAACTCAGACATTACCTACAAAAGGAAGCCACTACAACCACTAGGCTGGAGAACAAAGAGGGAAGGTGGTATTGCTGGAGTTCAGGAGATTCAATCATCCAACAAAGGCTTGACCCATGCTGGGCCTGTACAATGGGAGTTGGAGCCACGGGATTAATGTGCCTGCTGCCAGAGAATCAGCCCAAGGCAGAAAGGAAGAAGGAGAAATACCCTGGCTTCTCCCTTCTGCTGTATCCCAGCCTCCCTCCAATCTCTAACCAGTGCCTCCTACTGGCTACACTAAGTGAGAATCCAGCTAACACAGGAATTTGATAAACAACAGCCTTCATGGCTCAGCCCCTTTGTGAAAAAACACAGCAGGGAAAAAACAAGAAAAGTATCTGAGGACAAGCAGGTCCTAGACAACCATAGTCTAGATCAGAGGCACTGACAATTTTGTAAGTAGCAGGTCTTATGAAAATAAAAACACAAGTAGGAGGGCTGCTTGAACTGATGATAGTCATAGTTAGAGAAGATCGGTGATTGGCATATAAATATGGAATTTTACTCAAATATAAGACAAATGCATACCAAAGCTTATTCATATTCACAATCTATTCATCAAATGGGTCTGGTATAATTTTAGCTGAATTAAATAGTTCAAAATTATGTAATTAACAAAACTCATTTCCATCCCATCTGTAACATGAATCCTGGCAGCAGCCAGCTATACAACAGGAGCTAGTTTATATGCACGCTCTTGTTTGGTCATTTTTTAATTGAACCAAAATTTTCAGGCAGCCAGGACCCAAAGATCAGGTGGCTGTGCTGGTCTGAGAGCCTCTTACTGGCCAAGACACCAAGATTCCTTCTAGTTGCAATGGTCTCCATTCCTCCAGGCTAAGTAATGGTGCCTGGACCATACACTGAGGGAAGGCTTCCAGGAGATTGAAGGGAGGTGGTCACACCTGGTCATGTCAACATTGTCAACCTCCACCAGGCCACAGAGCACTGACTCTTGGTTGGGAAATTCTTTAAGCCTGGTTCCTACAATCATGCAAACAATTCAAAAGGGTCCCGGAAGAGTTAGAAGAACTTCCTGGAGCAGTGAGCACTTACCTATCCCTAGCCCTTTTGGGGGTCAGACTTCTAAAGTGAAATCTTTGGGTGTCAAGAAGAGCTAAGCCAAAACTAAAATTCCTCACCGATTCTGTTCATTGTTGTTTTTTTTTTTATCGAGAAGCCTGCTTGACACTACACATCAGCCAACGTTCTGAAAGCATGCAGTTGAGGCATGGTACTTCTTTTTGTTTTATATATGCATCATTTTTTATGTTCCCAAAAAAGCATATGAATTAAAAATTATCTGCATAAACATGAACTTACGATTTTTTCTATATGTCCAAGGAGAGCATATAATTTTATGAATAAATGAATGCCCCATCCCCATCCTTCAGGTTCTACCCCAAAAAAGCTCCTCCTCTTCATCCAGAATTCCAGCCTTGAGATGACACAGCAACTGTGGCTCCAGGAGGGCAATAAACACCTATTAGTGAGATCACAGGCAAACAAATTTTCTTTGTGCCTTAAAAAATATACCCTCATGCATCCCAGTGCGCTGAACACAAGAATTTAGAAACAGTATTTAGGAGTAAATACTGTTTGGCCAATTATCAGGTTAAGGAGAGAAATCTATGAATCTGGGAAAATTAATTTGAGAAACAGTTGTTTTTGTTTTTGTTTTTTAAGGAAGGCATTTATTTAAGGCAACATAAGAGTCTGTTTACATTTAACATTTTAATAGTTGGAAGGTTAAGATTTTGAATCAAGTATTATTGCTATTCAACCAGAAGCAATGGATTCTGTTTTAGTGAACTTTACCCTTTCACAGGTATTTAAGGAGCCTGTTACAATGTCAAGCAATGAACATTTTCCTGAAAGGAAGCAAAAGACATAAGAATTAACTCTAAAAAATGGCACTGTGTCACAGGAGAGCAGCCTGCCCATCTACCCTCGGGGGAGTTAAAAAGGCAGAAAGAGCAGATAGTGAGTCTGAAAGGACAAAGAGGCACCTCAGGACTCAAATTTCATGAAAAGTTCGCTCTGCAGAAAAACAAGAAGCCAATGCTGATGAGAGGACTTCAAGTTGGAGTTCTGCAGCTGATTTCTCTCTGTTCTTTTTTCCCTGTTCTTTGTTCCCTTTTCCTCCCAACTTCATTCTCTTCCCTGCAGGATGCAGATAATTAACAAGTGCCTATAGATGGAAGGTCTTGTAATCATCCCTTAATGGCTTTTCCAATTGTCAAAGTTAACAAGAATCTGGAGTTTTCTAAACCAGTTCAACATACAGAACAGAAAAAAAAAAACAAAACCCACCTTATTCTTAAGACTACTGAGGATGACCTTTTCACAGTTAAATGTGTTGTCTTCAATCTTGTGCTGCTATTTAAATAGCTTCTTCTACAGAAAATTGTCCCTTTGGAGAAAGTGCTGCGATTTCCCGTTTGAGGGGTTAACAAAGCACTTTAAGGCAATTGATCTCAAAGTGAGAACAATATTTCAGCAGCCAAAAGTAAAAGTACACACTACCTTTGACAAAGACAGCTCCGGTGTGGACACAGGGGAGAAAGCTTGGTTTGAAGAAAACACAAGGAGGAAAGGTCAGCATAAAAAGGCACTAAGCACCCATCTTTCTACCAGATAGGAAGTTAAAATACATAATCTCATAAGGCAAAAGGAAAAACTTTAGGTTGTCAGACCCAACTTTCCCAACCTAGGCGTCAACGGTACTTTTTACAACAGATGTTCTCAGCAATGGGGCCATATTGTATTCACCTGGGAGCTTTAAAAAAGAAATCTGATGTCTGGTTCCATGCCAGATCAATGAAATAAAAATATTTTAGGCTAAGGGGCAAGCCTTGGGAAGTTTTTTAAAAACTAGCAATATAGGTGAGGGAGGGATAAGATCCACTGGACTCCAATGCCTGCCTTGATCCAGCAGCTACATCATGGGCACTTCTGGTGACAAGGAATTGACTACCCTCCTAAAAATTAATTCCTTTTAAAGACCATTCTAAAATCATTCTCATTACTAAAGGTTTTCCTTATGTTGTGGCTAAACCTGCTTTTCTGTAACTTTCGCCAATTTTTTCCTAGCTCGGCCCAAGAAATCTACATGATACATTTATCAAATTTGGAAATGATACAAACCTGGAGGAAATTTTTTGATAACACAATGAACAGTCTGAGGGCAAATCTGAGGTCAAATTTAATAAAAATCTAACAGATATCTACATCCTATATTTTACTCAGGGCTAAGAAACAACTCACCAAGAGAGGATAGGAGAGAAAGGGCTTTAGCAGCAGAGTTACACGATAGATTTCCAGGGTAGGGATGGAGGCTGGGTGGGTGGCGACGTGGCTGCTGAAACCACCCATGTCTTCCCAGCCTGCATTCACAGATGTGCCATCTCCAGAAGAGGGACGCATCAGAAACATACTTTCAGTAGGGTACTAAGGTGACCATACTTCAAAAGAGAAAGAAAAAAACAGGGGAGAATGAACACAATGGTGAAGGGTTTTGAAAGATTTCAAATAAAGAACTACTAGGTGAAAGGCAGATGAAAAAGAAAATATTAAAATGAGGAAGAGGAAACCAGTATTTGAGTATATACTCAGTGACAGATGTCTTTATACATTAATTCAGGTAATCATCAGAACAGCCTCTGGGGTTACCTAATTATCTAACAAGGAGATGTTTAAATGGCCTAAAGAGATAAAACTAGGAAGAGGTGGGTGGGCCTGAAGCTTGAAAGAGACATATACAGCTTCATCTCTTTTCTTCTTTTGTTTTTGTGTCTCCATTGGAGAAGGGTAAGGCAATTATACTCCTCAATTAGTGGGACTCAGTTCTTTGGTTCATGCAGAACCCCTTTCTTATTTATTCATTACTTACTTTGTTTTTTCACATGCATATTTGTTAAATCTCTATGCCCCACTAGCATATTCTTTCCTCTTCATAGGTAACAATGTATATTATTTGTATTAGTCTGTGTTGCTATAGAGGAATACATGAGGCTGGATAATTTATTTTTTAAAAAGAAGTTTATTTGGCTCACAGTTCTGCAGGCTACACAAGAAGCAGATGCAAGCTTCTGCTTCTGGTGAGGGCTTCAGGCTGCTTCCACTAGTGGTGGAAAAGGAGAGTTGGTGCATGCAGAAATCACGTGGTGAACAAGGAGAGGTGCCATGCTCTTTTTAACTACCAGCTCTCAGGAGAACAGTGAGAACTCACTCACTCTGCCCCCTGGAGGTCATTAATCTATTTATAAAGCATCTGCCCTCATAACCCAGACACCTCCCACTAGGCCCCACCTCCAACACTGGATAACAAATTTCAACATGAGATTTAGAGGGGTCGAACAAACCAAACCCTAGCATTCTTTTATTTGCATACTTTCTTGTAGAAATTTTGTACGTAGTATGTAAATTTTCTTTTCATATACTTTGCCGTTTTCCACTAGGATTTCTACCTTTTTCTTGTTATTTTAGTTATCTGTGTGTTCTAGGTATTAGTCCTTTGTTGGCATTAGAAACTTTACTTACAGACTACTGACATTCTAATCTTTGTAATAACATTGCCCAGATATAATCAAAATCAACTTTTCTTTCTTATGGATTTTACATTTGAATTATTATTTACTAAATCTTTCCCCATCTTAAAGTCACAAAGATATTATCCTACATTTTTCTTTAATTAACTGTATGGTTTTAAGTTTTACATTTAGATCTTTAATTCATCTAGAATCCACTTTTATAATGTGGTGTTATGATAAGATCAATCTTTTTTACTCCATTTAATGAGCCTGTTTTTCTATTAGCATTTACTACAAAATCCTTCCTCTCACTGTTGACTTATGGTACCACCTTCCTATTATATAAATTTCCAATCAATATGAATTCATTGTTGAGCTCTCTATTCAGTTTCAGTGACCTATTTGACTGTCCTTGCACCAATATCACACTGTTTTTATTGTGTACCATGGCTGCTTTGTAGTATGTCTTAATACCTTCAAGGGAAAGTTACCCCATATACTCTTCTTTTTTCAAAACTGGCTTACTACGAAAAAACTCTAGAGATCTGCTGTACAACATTGTGCTTAGGTTAGCAACATTGTACTGGACACTTACAATTTTGATAAGAAGGTAGATCTCTTGTTCACCACAATAGAAAAAAAGATTGGTTTGCTATTTTTTGACTTTCATTATTCTGTAAAATTTTATAATAAATGCCATCATCAAAAATGTCCAACTGGAATTTTTATTGGGGTTAAACTAAAGATTATAGAAGAATAACCCTTATTGCATAAGTCATCTTATCCAAGAGCATGAAATGTCTATTTATTCAGATTATCTACTATGTCCTTTATTTATATTTTAAACTTTTCTTCACAGAGAGCATGTATATTCTTGGATAAATTAATTCCTAGATTAAATCTGTCTTGGAGGACTTCCCATACATGGGCTGATATAGAAATGACATCAGTATAACAGCCTCTGGTTTGTGTGGATATTTTTCCCAGCACATTAATATCATGTGCTACCCAGCAACAGCCACTGTACGTGAAAAAGCTAGCCCAGCTGCCCTTTGACCCCTCCAGTCAAGACCCCTTACTGTCTTGGTCGTCCTCCATCTGCTTCAAGTACCTGTTGTGTAGCAGCCAGCACCTTCTTGGCACTTGGTGGGTAACCTATGCCCTCAAATTCTGAAGTCCCTGTTTCTTCCCAGCCAGTTGATGTTCGCCTTCCCATAGTAGCTCAATCTGTTCATGTTCTCAGGGAACACCCCCAGGGAAGTAGATTTCAACTCAGTCAAAGAAGGACTTTCTGACCCAGCTATCTTGGGAGGGAGCAGCTCCCAAGTAGTAGTGACCTCACCCCAGGGAAGAGGACATTCACTCAGCCTGGTCAGAGAGAAGCAACACCTGCAGTGGCCCAGAAACCGACATGGTGATCTCTGCAGTCACTTCCAACTCAGACATTTGGTACATAATCAGGCTCCAGGTGTCTCTTTTCATCTCCAAGCCTCACATGCAAAGATGCACTCTTCTTCTATGTGCCTCAGTTTCTTCTAATCAGGAGGTTCCAGTTTGATATTCAGTCCCCACCCACCACACTCAACCACACTCAGATACCTGTATCCAGCATTCCCTGGATTTTGCTGTCCCAGTGCTGCCAAAGACGTGCCTTTGCTACAGATTTCTTCAATAAATCCCTATTTTTAGTCCATGATCTTGAGGCTATTCTTGATCCCTCTATACTTCATCTATAAAATGGAGATATTATCCCTAAAGCATTGCCTTGAAGATCGTATAATATATAGAAACACTTGGCTTATTGTTGAAATATTAGACCCTCTTCCCTTCAATTTTTATCCCACTTCCTGCCTTCCAATGTCTAAATCTTTTATATTCTCATTGCTTAACTATAATGAAGGTTTTGATCCCGTACTCTAAAGCACAAATATTTTGGCCTGCTATGGGAAAAGGTAAAGGTATCTTTACCTAGTTGGATAACTATATATGTGTGTGTGCATGTGTGTGTGTCTGTGTGTGTGTATAACTATATATGTATGTGTGCATATATATATAACTATATATGTATGTGTGTGTGTATTATATATATAGAGAGAGGGATATGGATATGGATAGATAGATATAGATATAACTATACATGGCAAATATATATGTGTGTGTTTATGTTCTACAAGGTTAAAAACCAGCTCTCAGTTAAGAGCTAGCCTTGTTTTTTGACTACATTTCTAATTATGGTTTGTTGCTTGTCATTTATTTCCTATTGGTGTTGCTGAATGGACTTTTACCCTGAAGCTTCATTTGTTAAAAAGAACATTAACATAAAAGAATCTTTACTAGAGCTCCAAGGAAGAAACATTACTCCATTTTTTTTCTAGACATCTAGTAGCAGAAAGCATGTATTTTATTTAAAAAGATTCAAAAGACTATTGTTTATAAAAATGACATGAAAATCTGATTTATGTTTCATTTCTAAAGCACATGATGAGAAGAGTAAGTCACAAAGTGGACATATGAAGAATTGAGGAAGCCTTTCTTAGTCCATGTCTGATATTATATCCAGCCTTCTAAAAAACAATTTGTGTGTTCACTATTTCAGAGCAGTCATGATAGGGAATCAATTCAGCCTAAAAGGATGCTCCAGAAGGAATAATTATTTCAGCATTTAATATACATAGAAAGAAAAAAGTCATTTTAGAAAATTAAGTGCCCCATATCCCAAAGGCAAAGCATCTACAAAGTGATATTTTTAGTTTTAGATATGGTTTCTCCTTTATACAAAAAGGCTCTCATTTTCAAAAGCTTAGAGTTTGGCTTGAAGTCAGGTTTTCTTGTTTATTTGCCTTTACTTTTGTATCCTTTTTATTCTGATGTTAACCTGTAGTCAAATAGCTTACTATTGTTCACATGAATTTTTCCTTGGAGAAAGGGAGAGAACATTCTTACCCATTACCCACATCACAGCCACTTAATAAGGGCTGGTTTCACTGATGAAGAAAAACATTCATAAAAGTCCATATTCCAGTTGGAATTCCTTACATTACCATATGAATCAACCTGAATGTGAAGAACAACATTACGTGTATAATGATATGCAAGAGGGGTTTCATATTTAATCCTTATGCCATCAGATTCCCAACCATGGACCTGTAATATAACTGATTCAAGGGTGAAGGACTAAAAACCCCATTACTCTTTTCTACCATTAATGTTGTCTATGAGCTGGTACGGAGATAAAAATGTGATTTCTACTAATGGAAACTGCCTCTACTGAAATTCAACAATTTGATGGTAATCAACCATCTGTATTTAATTTTATATGCTTCATTTTGATACAAAATTTTATTTACTCTCATCGAATAAATTCCCTTTTCATGTTATCAACTTGATTACCATTAGTCAGGTCTGTGTCTTGGTGTTTCCCAGAATCACTCTTTTCCCCTTTCTTTCTTAAGCCAGTACTTTCTTTCTTAGGTTCAGAAGTATATTATTATTATTATTATTATTATTATTATTATTGTAAAATTTCTGACTCAGATGAAAGCCTAATGAGGAAAAATATAATCATGCTTTCTAAAGGCAGATAAAACTGCTCACCAGGTCATGATTCCTCTGTAGCACAAGCTTTTTAAGAGTTCAACACTAATTAGCAATTCAGTAAGTCCCTGCACATCTTAAAACATCTCCAAAATCATAGGGAGGTGAAGTGTCTGATATTAGCTTTCACCACTGCAAATACTTTAATAGCTTGTGAACAATTCAGAGAGGCTACAACGTGTCCTCAATGAGCTCATGCCTGAAATGGGGACTGCAGAATGACAGGAGTAAGGATAAGGCTAAGACTGAGAGAAGATAAGGCTGAGACTCATGTCCCCTTTATAGCCAACTTGATTTATCCCTTCTCATTTCAAGCCACTTACAAGTACACTTAAAATATAACTTAGGCTCTGTTACAGTCCTTGGCACAAAGGACATTTTGTATGAGGCACTGTTATTTTGGTCATGAAGCAAAATTATGTATTGATTACCTTGTGTCTAATCCTGTATGTAAGATAGCTCAGGTAGTAGTCATGGGTAATCTTTATTTAAAAAAAAAATCCTTTCTGGAACTAAAAGTAGATCTGCCATTCAACCCAGCAATCCCACTACTGGGGGTATCTACCCAAAGGAAAAGAAGTCATTATATTAAAAAGACACATGTACACTCATGTTTATAGCAGCACAATTTGCAATGGCAAAGATGTGAAAACAACTTAAGTGCCCAGCAGCCAAGGTATGGATAAAGAAAATGTGGTATATAACACCATAGAATACTATTCAGCCATGAAAAGGAATGAATTAATGGCTTTTGCAGCAACTTGGATGGAGTTGGAGGCCATTATTCTAAGTGAAGTAACACAGGAATGGAAAACCAAGTACCTTATGTTCTCACTTCTAAGTGGGAGCTAAGCTATAAGGAAGCAAAGACATACAGAGTAATATAATGGACTTTGGGGACTCAGCATGGGGATGTTGGGAGGGTGCTGAGGGATAAAAGACTACGTATTGGGTACAGCATACATTGCTTGGGTGCTGGGTGCACTAAAATCTCAGAATTCACCACTATAGAACTCATCCATGTAACCAAAAACCACTTGTATCCCCAAAGATATAGAAATTTTAAAAATTCTTTCTGAATTATCTTCTCACAACAAACACAGCTTAAGACAGTATCAAAGCACATTAACAATTAGAGTTAATTTATAGCAAAGAGCAAGGATTTAAAAACACAAGCACCCATATTAGGAATCATAGCTCAGCTGTTTTACGTATGCAACCCCAGTCTCTATATAACACAACCAGAGATAAAAACTCAATTGTTACAATATCCAAATGAGGTGACCATCCTAGCACCTAAGTACAAAGAGAACATGTGCCAGCCTTCCTAATTTACACTTGCCTTCTCCGAAGCTCTGAGACCCCCTCCCCAGTCGCATTTGGAGAAAGGAAAACTTCATACTCCAAAGCCATTACATTTATTTCCATAGGCCAAATACAGCAAGGATCCTCTGTGCTTCAAAAGCACACCTCGGGCTTCCCCTCAGGTCTTCCTTGCCTTAGGCAAAAAGGGCCAGAGAAGTGAGAACCGTCTTTGTGAGTCCACAGAGGAGAGTCAGAGCAGCCTCTTCTGCTTTCTAGAAGAAAATCCATGCACCATCCCCACCACCTTCTTTCCCTATCATTAGGAGAAGCTCTGATATCGCCACTAAATACTTGAGGACTGATTAGCCTTCGGGGCAAAGGAATTCCAGTGCTTCGTTTCAACCACTGTTTGCTTTTATATATTTCATCAATGACTGCTGATTAAAATGTATTCTCTCCTTACAGGCATTTTGCCCATCAGCAAGTAGATGAAGGGAAAATGTGTAGGGAGCGCTTAACGATTTTCTGGAGATGGAGGGGGAAATGGTGGGTGGAAGGCATGAGCCAGGGGCAAGTGGCATGCCATAAACACAGCTTGAGGGACTGGAACCCTTCCTTCCCCAGCATGAGGAGCCCAGCTTTCACGCAGTCTCAGTCTGAGTGCAGAGACTGCTCCTTCTTTCCCATCCTCTCAGCCCTACCCACCCTAGAACTAGCTACCCACATGCCAGGGGCCTGGGCCAATTTGGACATCTGGGGGTCATTCTGGTTGTCACAAAAACTGGGAAGTAGCGCTGGCATTTCTCAGACTTCCCTAGGTCACTCTGTCAATAGCCTTTGCTAGGTGACACAAATGCCAAGTGATTTCCCTAAATGAGGGGCTCTGGTAAACAGAATTGGAAAACATAGCTTAGGTCTAAGGCCACAGCAGGGCCTTTTACCTGAATCTGCTATGTCCTGGAATTCAGGGTGTTAGGGAAGAGAATTTAGTGTTAAATTGATATCAAGAGCCTGGGTGATGGGAACCTAAGAATTATGCTGAGTAAAAGAAAAAAGCAAAAAAAGAGCCTGAGCAGAACAGTCCTAAGAAGGCGCTATGGGAGAACCAGCAATGACTGCCATCTTGAATACAGGGCCCATGACTGCAACCTCATATATGCGTGGATTAGATCCATGCTTTGCATTATAGCATGCACATATATGAGGGGGCTAACTTTTTATTATGAAAATGTTCAAATATGCACAAAAGTAGAGAGAGTAGTATAAACAACTATCATATCACTTCAATGCTATAAAATTCAGTGTGCTTTTATATAACATGAGGATTTTTTACATAATTACAACACCAAAATAAAATAGAATTTTTATTACTATACTTAATAAAATTCCGTGATATCATCTAATACCTAGTCCATATTCAATCCTGAATTGGAGAGAAATGTTTTTACTTTGTATGAATAAAATAAAAATTGATAATATTGAAAAATCGATTACAGTAATGCTGATTATAGATAATGAACAGCTATCAAAGAGAAATAAAACTTACACATTTGATTTGCTTGGCTGTGTAGAAATACCACCAATTAAAACAGTTTATTTCAACTCCTTGCCATTTTTCCCCAGTGACCACAATTCACAATAACAATTATGCATGTCATTAAATGTGTGCCACATTATAGTTGGAATTAAAGTGTACAAAAGTAGTACAGAAATCTGCTTGCAACTTTAAAAGAAAATTGTTTACCTGCAAATAAATTGCATTGACCTAGATAATCTATATTCAGACGCAGGGAAATGTAGTTGATATCAAGAATACAAAAATATTTGAACTTTAGCAAACTCATGACAACCTTCTCTCATTACCTTTACAATGATATATTATGCTCTTAGGTAGGTGACAGAAATGCTGAGATGAAACTTCAGCACAATTACAGAAAATAGTTGTTCTGGGATCTCTGAGGAGGAACTGTTTTCATATGAAAACGTTGGATCCTGAAAAAAGTTTTGCACCCTCTAGCTTGTTAATAACTCCTCATCCTCCTCCTCCTACTCCCTAAGCCCACCTCAATTTGCAGGACTGCACATAGATGGGGGTTCAGAAAACTGAGATTCTATTCTGTGTGACTTGAGCAAGTTACTTTTTGTGACTCAATTTGTCATTGGGAAACACTGATCAGAGGCTTTCTGCAATGTTATTGTACTAACTTCACAAGAAATTAGCACTAACTCCTTTCTAAATCTAAAAATAAAAAGGATGTACTTGGATCAAAGGAAAAAGGATTAAACAGAAGGTGAAGGGGAGCTCCGTGCATGTAAGTCCCCATCCACTCTGGCAGCGGTGGTTGCTGTTAAGGCAGCGCCAGACATTTGTTCTCATCCCTGCCAGACTTGTGGCCCCTTGGCTCTTTGGACAGATAACCTACTGAACTCAAGGACCCCTGCCTGCCTCATACACCTGCCCCGCTGGTCAACCAGACTGGCTTAGAATACCTCTGGGAGAACTAACCTCTGAAGTGTTGACCTCAGTTCATTAGTGAGGTTGTAAGCTTTTGCTAGATTCATATTAGCCTCAGCCTTCTGCAAAAGGGAAAGGAAGAAAGGGGGGAGAAAAGAAGGAAGGGAGGGAGGAAAGGAGGAAGAAAGAAGGGAAGGAGGAGGAAGGGAGGGGAAGAAGAAGGGAAGGAGAGAGGGAGGGAAATCAAAGCTTTGCTTGGAAATGGATTCTGAAACCAAAGCACTGGTGAACTCATTAAAGATTTGAAGTCTGACAGCTCAGCTTTCCCAAACCATGGCAGCTATAAAGGGAATATAATTACATTTAACAGAAGCCACCTGCATTTTGAAGTGGCCTAAATTTAAAGCTTCTGGGAGACTTAATTAAATTTAATGAAAACCATAGCAGCTAAACAAAGATGTATTGTAGCTCCCATTTTGTTATTCCTGAGGAAATTAAGTAGAACACATGAAGCCCCACCTTAGCTTTCACATTTAAACCTCTGGATATTAATGCCAAAAGTCTATAAATAAGGTAATGTTCTCTTTTTTTCATTGGCTAATAACATTGTCAGACTACTCATCTGTTCCTGTGAGAAGAAAGGAAAACACAACTAGAAGGAAAACGAAGAGGAGAAAAGAAGAAAGTACAGGAAAGTTATCTTACGTGTGAAATAGGCTATTACCCTAACTGACTTCCCGCCCTTTGTGCCCCCTCACCCCAAGTCCAACATCTTCAGTGGCCTTTCTTTCATTTTTGAAGGAACTGTATGTTATGTGTCATTGCAATATAAGTGCCCAGTTAATTCAGATCAGGATGGACATCTGTAAATTAGAGCATCAAAATATGTGGGTCAACATGCCCCTGCGGTACTCTTAACCTAGACTATTTACTTTTCTTTTTATGATTCTTTTTTGTTGTTGTTAACCTAGACTATTTATATATAGATACAGTGGTGATCCTTTTGATGGATTTTAACAACAGGCTGGTAGAAATGCAGTGCAAGCTGACATCAAGCAGAAACCCTTCTCTGTGACTAGGACAGGGAGAAGGAGGAGGTGATGTGGCCTAAATTGCCTGCACAGAGGGCAACCAGACAGTCCAAGACAGCGCTCTCAAACCTTAATCAGCATAGGAATCCCCTGAAGGGCTTGTTAAAATACAGACTTCTGGATTCTATCCCCAGAGTTTCTGATTCAGTAGATCTGGACCGGGACCCCAAAACTTGCCTTTCTAACAAGTTCCCAGGGGATGTTGATACTACTGATTCAGGGACTATATATTTTGAGGACCAGTGGTCTAAGACATAGAATCTCAGAAGTTTAAAAACCTGAAGCATTGTTTAGAAAATGGTTTGATATTAGCTGAATCCCATCCAAAAGCAGAACATAGTGTTAAGAAAACTAAGCCACCAATGACAGGAGGTAGGCAGATAATGGTTGAGTCTCCGAAATCTGCTCCATAGGTCAGGCCCTTCACCCTCATGTGGGGATTAAAGTCTCACTGTGGAAAAGGTGGACAAAACTAGGCCGGGTCCTATAGTCACAATCCACCTGCTGGAATCAATCAGGTCCACAACCCTCAAGGGAATCAGGCTAAGGAACACAGAGCCTCGCCTGGGATCATCACCCATGAGAAGGATCTGACCCATCTGCAGGTAGATTGGAACATGTGTTCCTTCTTCTGGTGTCAGACCTTTGACAACCAGAACCCACCCCCATCCCCACACAGACAAACTTATGCCCACAGTGTCCATGTCTTGACAATTCTTGTGTAATTAAAGTTTCTGAATTACTGAACTCTAGACTTATCTGCTTACATTTAGAGCACTGTCTGCACCAATTTTATAAACCATAAAGGACAGCTATCAGCTGCTGTTATTAAGACACTTTCATATTTATTCTCATTTGACTCTTAAAGCAACCCCATGAGATGGGCAAAGAGAACAGTCAAGAGAACAGATCCTCAGGTATCGTACAACTGGCCCTGAGACCCAAGTCTAACATCATTTCTATTGGACCACATTCCCTCCCTTTTAAAAAGGATTTAGGAACCAGGTACGGTGTCTCAGCCTGTAATCCCAGCAACTCAGGAGGCTGAGGCAGAAGGATCACTTGGGACCAGGAGTTCAAGACTGCAGTGAGCTATGATTGTGTCCCTGCACTCCAGCCTGGACAACAGAGCAAGACCACATTTCAAAAAACGAAGGATTTAAACCAACACTACAGAGCAGGATAAATTTATTCTCCCATTTCATTAAGCAAAATCCAAAATGAACAGAATATATCAGGAAACACATTTTATCACTGCACTGAATTTTCTAATACTCACGACAGCCTACTTGCCTAAGACAAAACAGAGTTCTCCATCCACAGAGGGGACCAAGCAGAGGCTGCACAAACACATGTCAGGTACTTCAAAAAAAGGGACTGAAGCATTCATTGGGATGGCCCCGATGCATTAGAGTCAATTGGTTCTAAATTCTTTTCATTTCTCTGGTGGGCTACTCATTAAGAACAGACTCAAATTGCCTGTCAGCCTTTTCTGTAATTTTTACAGGTAAAATATTTCTGTGGGCATTCTAATTTCAAAAGACAGCAAAAACTCCGTATTTTAGTTGCAACATTTAAAATAACAACAATGTATGTTTTCATACTTGCCAGTTAATTTTCATCAAGTTAAAGCACACAGTAAGATGTTTCCTACTAGAATCCATGGGTTTAAAATCCTGAAATTAGCATACTAGTACCTCACAATCCCAACTGTGTGCATTTCTTGCCCAATTGTATCTTTACTATCTAAAGGTGTTTTCTTTCATCTTCTTTGAAGCATTCCTTCTCCTTTTCTTTCTATTGTTTACACTGTAAACGTAATGTTCTTTTTTTTTGAGACGGAGTCTTGCTCTGTCACCCAGGCTGGAGTGCAGTGACGCGATCTCGGCTCACTGCAAGCTCCGCCTCCTGGGTTCACGCCATTCTCCTGCCTCAGCCTCCCAAGTAGCTGGGACCACAGGCGCCCGCCACCACGCCCGGCTAAATTTTTTTTTTTTTTTTTTTTGTATTTTTAGTAGAGACGGGGTTTCACCGTGTTAGCCAGGATGGCCTCGATTTCCTGACCTCGTGATGTGCTCGCCTCGGCCTCCCAAGGTGCTGGGATTACAGGCGTGAGCCACCGTGCCTGGCAACTTAATGTTCTTAAGGAGCAAATCTGTGATGTTTATTACAAAACCTTGCAAAATTTTTAATAAAATTATTATAAATTCTGCTTGTTAAACTCAAGTAAAAGTATAGGTACATTAATATTTTCAGTGGAAAGCCTATCATGCCACATAGACTTTGGAGCTGAGTGAGCTGGGTTTGATTCCTGGTGCCATTACATCCTAACTTTGTGACTTTGGAAAAGTTTACTTTTCAGAAAATAATGATGAAAATTGCACGTAGCTCATGGGAATAAAATGCAATAATGTACGTGCCAGACCAGCATAATAGACAAAGCAGCATTTTACAGTGATTAAGCAAAAAGACTGCCTATATTCAGATCTCAAGTCTGCCACTTAATAGCAATATGATGTTGAGCAACTTAACCTCCCCAAACCTGTGTACTCATCTTTATAATGGGGGGCAATTACATAATCTACCTCATAGGTAGATTATATTGTTGAGATGATTGACTGGGATAATATTTGTAAGACCCTCAACACAGCATGCTGCCAGTGGTGGGCAACTCAGGGATAGTATTTCCCTTTCTTGGCCTCCTTCTTTCCAAGCCACCTCCATGTTTCCTGCTCACTCTTTCCTACCTTGCCATCCCACTTTGCCTAGAAGGAAAAAAACTTGTAACCTAGAGGCAGAATTCCTCATATGGAGAGAAACGTCTTTGTTTAGTTATCTACGTGTTAACACCATCATCAGCTGTGAAAAGAAACACTCTCATGGCCTGGTTGAGAAACAGAGCTAAACACTTATGCATAATAAAGTGGGAGAAGTTGGGAGCTTCTGGAGGTATGGGATATGAGGAGGGCAGATGTGAGAGGGGTCTCTGGTTTGTGACTTTTCAGCAGTGGGATTGGCCAAGCACTTCAAAGAATTAGAGTGCAAACAGCCTGCTAAGCTTAGCTGTATGTTGAGCCTAACACTTCAGTAAGTCTAGTACATATGGTGTGGTTTGGTGGAAAATATCAATGAAAAAGAATGCTATTCCACATTTGGATTCAATGCAATGATGAAAGAAGGGAATAGCTGAATGAGGTGAGATGAGAGACTAATAACTTCATGAAATCAGAAGTCGGGGTTTTAATTTCTCATGTAAGCAGAATAAGGACTCAAGCAAGCTCTTTTGATTTAAATATTAAATGAGAGGTGACCAGGAGGGCTAAAAAACTTGGGTTTCCACCACCTTCGCCCCACCAGTACTGTTAACATGTTAATCATACCATTTTCTCCTTTTCATCACTTGCTTTTCGTTATGTATACATATACAGTGTAACTCTTACTTGATAAAGTAAAATACTTGATTTCAAAGCAAGGCTGAAACTCTAATGCTTATGGACTCCTAAAATCTTGAAACCAGAAGACGTTCTAGCCATGACTTAGTGCAAGCTCTTAAATTAACAGCTAGGAAGCAAGCCTGGAGAGTGACTTTCCCAGTTCTCATGGCAAGTTGCCAGCAGCAAATGGACTTGAGCTTTCAGCCAAGGGAGACCATTCCCTTCTTTAAGTGAGAAAGGGAATATATATAAGCCTGAGCAGGTAAGGTAGCTCACAAAACTAGGGAGCTATTCCTAGCTGTCTGCATATTTTCTTGAGTTGAGACATTCATTAATCCATTTTAGCAATGGACAATCTCTTTATATTAATTCTACCAATTAATTATGTCAATACATTATTATATCAGATACCTTTATAATGATAAATTAATGCTCTCCTTGGAGTGAAATATCATGATGAAACCCATTCTTTGACATATAAAAGTGAAATTAAGCATGAAAACAGGTCCCATTGATCATCAGAACTTCTAATATATTCATTTGCTTTCCTGTGTTTTGAGCTGATTTTCAGTGGAGTTGAGTTGAAGTGAACTTAGAAAATTCAATGCCTTTACAAAGAATATGAAGCTCTGAATAATTCATTTCTGTTGTAGTTTAATTGTTGAATAAATGATTAGACTAATTATCATTGAATTTATAAAAAGCAACTAAACATTTTAATTAATTTAATTAGGAGATTTGAAAACTGATTTTTTTAAATGGCTGAATGATAAAATCATAATTCTACAGCAATTCAGTGTGTTTATAATGGTAATTATTTTACTTTTAAGATCCACAAAGAAAATATAGATAAGCTATTGTATAGAAATCGGAGTAAATAGCCCATGTCTCAGACTTGTAGCTGTTATTCTTTAAAATAGTTATAAACTGAATTTAATTCAAGAGACAATTTATCTTTGCCAACTGTGATGGTTAATATTGAGTGTCAACTTGATTGGATTGAAGGATGCAAAGTATTGTTCCTGGGTGTGTCTGTGAGGATATTGCCAAAGGAGATTAACATTCGAGTCAGTGGACTGGGAGAGGCAGACCCACCCTCAGTCTGGGTGGGCACCATCTTATCTAATCAGCTGCCAGCTCTGCTAGGATAAAAGCAGACAGAAGAATGTGGAAGGACTTGACTTCCTGAGTCTTCCGGACTTCATCTTTCTGCCATGCTGGATGCTTCCTGCCCTTGAACATCAGAGTCCAAGTTCTTCAACTTTTGGACTCTTGGACTTACACCAAAGATTTCCAGGGGTTCTCAGGCCTTTGGCCACAGACTGAAGGCTGCACTGTGGGCTTCCCTACTTAAGAGGTTTCAGGACTCAGACTGGCTTCCTTGCTCCTCAGCTTGGAGACAGCCTATTGTGGGACTTCACCTCGTGATCGTGTGAGTCAACTCTCCTTAATAAACTCCTCTTTATATATACATCTCTCCTGTTCTGTCCCTCTAGAGAACCCTGACAAATACCAACTATAAGATTTTATCAGTAAAAATACAAAATATATTTGTTTGCATATGGAGTGTAAAAGAGGGGGGTGGAGGTCTAGAAGAGATGAGTCCCTGAGGTGTTGTAAAAAGACACTTAAGGAATGAAACCTTAATACATAAAGAAAGGCACTAACAAGGTATAAGCTAGGGGCACATTTTCAACTCTGTAAGGAAAGTCAGAAGTTTAAAATGTCAAAGATAAAGGGACTTCTTTGGTCCAAGAATACCACAAATACCAAGAAATACAATCCCCAGCCCTTCAGTTAGATAATGTTCTATAATTCCAAAATTATGGAGTGAAAGTACAGCTAGCTTTTAGAGACAGCCCTCTTCACAGCACATTCGCCTTAAGGAGAGATTTTAAGACAAAGCATATTATCCTTTAAAATGAGGCTGAAAAGATATGTTTAGAGGTATCGCTTAGAATGCTTAGTAGAATCAACACAAACTAAGAGGCAGGTGACCTTGCTTCTTGATCTAACTTTGATACCTCTATCTCTCCCACTGTGACCTGGAACAACTCATTTAACTTCTCAGAGTTTCATTGCCATTTGCCAGATGGGACTTTTTAAAATTATCAACAGTAAGAATAGAAACTGATAATTCACATGTGGAGAAATGCATATTTCTTAAACAACTGTTGGAAAAGAATTTATTCTCTAAATAATTTAAAAATGCAACTTAAACCTGAGAAACCACCAAATGTCTGCTAAAGAGTAAGAATGTCTTTAAATGATCATAATCTTTAAGAAATAACGATAAAGTTGGATTCACTCATTCAATGCAATCAGCTGCTCAAAAGCAGATATTCTCTCTTCCTTATTTATATAGAAATCGCCAGGGCCTGTAAACATTAGTTCAGTAAATATTTGTTCAATCAGTACTAGCCATTGGTGGTGTTGAAAACTGCTATTTGAGAATCAGTATAGCCACATGGAGCACATATTTCTGGTAGAGCCAACTAATTAAGCTTCAAGGTAAAGCATGAGAGAAAATGGTTTGTTTCAGTCTGTCCTGACCTGCCCTCATGTGCCAAACTGTGTATTCTTAACCAGGCATAGGAAAAAGAAGAGAAGACTATTTTATAGTGTGCAGCGGGCCAGAAAGTAGCAGTACCAATCACCTCTAATATGCCAATCTGGGCTCCAATGTGAAATCTTCTCACTGTTCTGGTGTCCTCCCTTGGGACATGAGGGTGACCTGGGCTGAGGTTTGGTTGTCAGTGAGCCCCAACTTCAACTGATTATTCAAAAGGGCGAAAGATTCAAGTCATTTTAGCACACAGAACTACCGATATCCTTATAATATATTCTGTGAGCAGGACGGAATATTCTGATAGTGTCCATTCCCAATCAGAAGCAGGAGTCTCCTCCTGGTCCATCATCTGCACACAGAATTAGTGTGCTTACTTCTTGTCTCAGTTACTCCCACAGCCACCTCATTTGAATCAGAGGTCTAAGTCTTACTGCCTTTTCCTACTTGGACACAAAATTTAATAAACCTGGGAAATAAAGAATGCCTAATCAATAGGCTTTGACTTGTATAGGGTGTTACTTTTATTTTATGACAGAACTCACCATTCATAAACATAAAAACACGTGGTCTCCAACAATTCCATTCCTAAATGTTTTAATCTAAGAAAACAATTCAGAAGTGAAACATCTACAGCAGTATTTCCTATAATAGAATGTAGTGATTCATAAATGTTGATCGGGATGAAAAGGGAAGATCCAAGACATTATCTGAGCAGCCAGTTGGAAAACCGAGTGGATGCTGGGGCTGGGGCCACTCACTGATCTAGGGAATGCATACGGGTGGGCAGGTAGGAGCAGGGCCACATCATGTGCTGTGCCATTTTAACTGCACTACTGTGGGAGTGGGATGACCTTTTCTAATTTTCACAAGGCCCTACTTACCTGCAGCGGTGAGCATGTATTTTTAACACAAAAGAGTGCCCTGTGGCCTACAGGCAGCTCTGGATGAGAGGGAAAAAGTGTGCTTTCAGTTGTGAGTGTGTTCCGTTTTTGAAACACCTGAGGTATCTAGGGGAATTGCAGGGTAGGAAGCAGTGATCAGGACCGAGGTTTAGCTGGAGTTACATAAATGTGGAGCCATCAGTGTGCAGGAGAAGCAGTAACTACCCCATTGTACAGGGCTATATCTTCTATCATGGCTCATTGCACCTAAGAATCATCAATTGTAAGATACAAACTAATTTCAGAGATGTGAGAATGTGAAAAAACAAGCATCTTAGAATTTATATATATGATTAAGGGAAAGAACTGCTATTGTCCCTGGATGCTGTCTGTTTTTTTCAAGAGTATCAAAATTAAAATGAAAACAGAGACAAATCTCTAAATGTAATATTTTATTTGGGAATCACAGAATTGCAATTCAGGGCATACACAGACCAGGCAGTCTTCGGCATGTCCAAAGAACAAAGAGAAGATTGGGAGTTTTATTAGAAAGATCAATGTTATGTACTGTTTTGAAAGAAATCTCATCAGCACTAGAGAAGCTTTCGAAAGCTGGCAAGCTCTGACTGGTAAGTGACGGTGGTAGGTACAACTAGTCTTAGCGTCACACCCAGTCATTTCAGCAGCTACAAGGTAAAACTGCTCTTTGGGTTACAGCTAGCTGTTTCAGCAGCCAGGCTTGTGGAAAATTCAGTTCTTGGAGCAGGTGCTCTGTGCCTCAAGTGATTTTCCCGCCTGCCCTCTTGACTCAGATTTAGTTGGCTATGACAAGAATGACACAATTCATATTATCAACTTTCACAAGAGCCAAATAGAAAAGATATGGGAAGACTATTTGGAGGAACAGATGAACAGCTGGAACAGAAAGGAAGAAGAAGCCTTCAACTGTCCTTGGAGTATGTAGCTCCTTCCTAATTCAACTCACCTTTTCTGTGTTCTCCCTGCTGGCCACTTTTTTTAATTAATTGTTACTTTTATTTCAATAGTTTTTGGAGTATAGGTGGTTTTTTGTTACATAGATAACCAGGTAACCCTGTGGGTGAGTCTTTTATCCCTCACCCACCTCCCAATCTTCCCCTCCAAGTCTCCAAAGTCCATTATATTATTCTTATGCCTTTGCATCCTCATAGTTTAGCTCCCACTTATAAGTGAGAACATATGATATTTGATTTTCCATTCCTGAGTTACTTCACTTGGAATAATGGCCTCCAGCTCCACCCAAGTTGCTGCAAAAGACACTATTTCATTCCTTTTTATGGCTGAATAGTATTCAACAGTGTATATATACCATATTTTATTTATCTACCCATGGGTTGATGGGGACTTAGGTTGGTTCCATATGTTTGCAATTATAAATTGTGCTGCTATGAACATGCATGTGCATGTATCTTTTTAATATAATGACTTATTTTCCTCTGAGTAGATATTCACTAGTGGGATTGCTGGATCAAATGGTATTTCTATCTTTTGTTCTTCAAGGACTCTCCATACTGCTTTCCATAGTGGTTGTACTAATATACATTCCCCCCAGCTGAGTAAAATTGTTTTTCACCACATCCACACCAACATCTATTGTTTTTAGACTTTTTAATTATGGACATTCTTGCAGAAGTAAGGTGGTATCTCACTGTGGTTTTAATTTGCATTTCTCTAATAATTTGTGATGCTGAGCATTTTTTTCATACGTTTGTTGTCCATTTATATATCTTCTTTTATTGTCTATTTATATCTTTAGCCCACTTTTTGATGGGATTATTTGTTTTTTTCTTGCTGATTAGTTTGAGTTCCATGTAGATTCTGGATATTAGTCCACTGTCAGATGCATAGTTTGTGAAGATTTTCTCCCACTCTATGGGTTGTCTTTTACTCTGCTAATTCTTTCTTTTGTTGTACAGAAGCTTTTTAGTTTAATTATGTACCATTTATTTATTTTTATTTTTGTTGCATTTGCTTTTGGGGTCTTAGTCATGAATTAATTTCCTAAGCCAATATCTACAATAGTTTTCCCAATGTTATCTTCTAGAATTTTTATGGTTTCAGGTCTTGGATTTAAGTCTTTGATCCATCTTGAGTCGATTTTTGTATAAGGTGAGAGATGAGGATCCAGTTTCATTCTTCTACATGTGGTTTGCCAGTTTTCCCAGCACCATTTATTGAATAGGGTGCCCTTTCCCTAACTTATATTTTTGTATACTTTGTCAAAGATCAGTTGGCTGTAAGTATTTGGCTTTATTTCTGTGTTCTCTATTCTATTCCATTGGTGTATGTGCCTATTTTTATACCAGTACCTTGCTGTTTTGGTAACTATAGCCTTGTAGTATAATTTGAAGTTGGGTAATGTGCTGTCTCCAGATTTGTTCTTTTTGCTTAGTATTGCTTTGGCTATGTGGGCTCTTTTTTGGTTCCATATGAATTTTAGGATTGTTTTTTCTAGTTCCGTAAAGAATGATGATGGTATTTTGATGGGAATTGCATTGAATCTGTAGATTTCTTTGGGCAATATGGTCATTTTCACAGTATTGATTCTTCCCATTCATGAGCATAGGGTGTTTTTCCATTTGTTTGTGTTATCTATGATTTCTTTCAGCAGTGTTTTGTCATTTTCCTTGTAGAGATCCTTCACCTCCTTTGTTAAGTATATTCCTAAGAATCTTTTCTGTAGCTGTTGTAAAAGAGATTGAGTTCTTGATTTGATTCTCAGCTTTGTCATTGTTGATGTACAGCAGTGCTACTGATTTGTGTACATTGATTTTGTATCCTGAGACTTCACTGAATTCATTTATCAGATCTAGGAGCTTTCCAGAGGAGTCTTTAAGGGTTTCTAGGTATACGATCATATCATCAGCAAACAGTAACAATTTGACTTCCTCTTTCCCGATTTGGATGCCCTTTATTTCTTTCTCTTGTCTGATTGATCAGGCCAGGACTTCCAGTACCATGTTGAATAGAAGTGGTGAGAGTGGGCATCCTTGTCTCATTCCAGTTCTCAGGGATAATGCTTTCAACTTTTGCCCATTCAGTACAATGTTGGCTATAATTTTGTCATAGATGGTTTTTATCACTTTGAAGTAAGTCCCTTCCATGCCTATTTCGTTGAGAGTTTTTATCATAAAAGGATGCTGGATTTTATCTAATGCTTTTTCCACAACTATAGAGATGATCATATGTTTTTGTTTTTAGTTCTGTTTATGTGATGTATCACATTTATTGACTTGCATATGTTAAACCACCCCTGCATCCCTGGTATGAAACCCACTTCATCATGATGTATTATATTTTTGATATGCAGTTGAATTTGGTTAGCTAGTATTTTGTTGAGAATTTTTGCATCTATGTTCATCAGGTATATAGGTCTGTAGTTTTCTTTCTTTGTTATGTCTTTTCTTGGTTTTGATATTAGTGAGATACTGGCTTCATAGAACAACTTAGGGAGGATTCTCTAATTCTCATCTTTTGAAATAGTTTCAGTAGGATAGGTACCAATTCTTCTTTAAATGTCTAATAGAATTCAGCTGTTAATCCATCTGGTCCTGGAATTTTTTTTTTTCGCAATTTTTTTTATTACTATTTCAATCTCACTACTTGTTATTGGTCTTTTAGAGTTTCTATTTCTTCCTGGTTTAGTCTAGGGGGGTTGTATATTTCCAGAAGTTTATCCGTCTCCTCTAGGTTTTCTAGTTTGTCCACATAAAGCTGTTTACAATAGCCTTGAATGATCTTTTGTATTTCTGTGATATTGGTTGCAGTATCCCAAGTTTCGTTTCTAATTGAGCTTATTTGGATCTTCTCTCTTTTTTTCTTGGTTAATACTGCTAATGGTCCATCAATTTTGTTTATCTTTTCAAAGAAACAGTTTTTTGTTTCATTTATCTTTTGTATTTTGTTTATTTCAATTTCATTTAGTTCTACTCTGATCTTTGTTATTTCTTTTCTTCTGCTGGGTTTGGGTTTAGTTAGTTCTTGTTTCTCTAGTTTCTTGAGGTGTGACATTATGTTGTCAATTTGTGTTCTTTCATACTTTTTGATGTAGGAATTTAATGCTATGAACTTTCCTCTTGGCACTGCTTCTGCTGTGTCCCAGAGGTTTTGATAAATTGTGTCACTGTCATAATTGATTTCAAAGAATTTTTAAATTTCCATCTTGATTTCATTGTTAACCCAAAAATCAATCAAGAGCAGACTATTTAATTTCCATTTATTTGTACAGTTTTGAGGGTTCTTTTTGTAGTTGATTTCCAGTTTTTTCCACTGTAGTCTGAGAGGGTGCTTGGTATAATTTCAATTTTCTTAAATTTATTGAGACTTTTGTGGCCTATCTTATAGTCCCTCTTGGAGAATGTTCCATGTGCTAATGAGAAGAATGTATATTCTGCAGTTGTTGGGTAGAATGTTCTGTAAATATCTGTTAAGTCCATTTGTTCTAGGGTATAGTTTAAGTCCACTGTTTCTTTGTTGACTTTCTGTCTTCATGATCTGTCTAGTGCTGTCATTAGAATATTGGTCCCCACTATTATTGTCTTGTTTTCTATCTCATTTTCTAGGTCTAGTAGTAATTGTTTTATAAATCTGGGAACTCTTGTGTTAGGATATAAATTTAGGATTGTAATATCTTCCTGTTGGACTAATCCTTTTATCATTATATAATATTTTTCTTTGTCTTTTTTTACTGTTATTGCTTTAAAGTCTGTTTTGTCTGATATAACAATAGCTACTCCTGCTCACCTTTGGTTTTCATTTGCATGAGATATCTTTTTCCACCCATTTACCTTATGTTTATGTGAGTTCTTATGTGTTAGATGAGTCTGTTGGAGACAGCAGATATTTGGTTCGTGATTTTTTATCCATTCTGCCCTTTTGTATCTTGTAAGTGGAGGATTTAGGCCATTTACATTCAATGTTAATATTGAGATGTGAGGCACTATTCTATTCATCATATTACTTGTTACCTAGATATTTTGTTTTTTTCCTTGTGTCTTTGATTATTAAGCTACTCAAGGAGGTACCAGAAAAAGGTGAGAACCAACATAAATAAATAAAAAAAAATCCAGGATAAGAATGAAAAAGTTTCCAGAGAACTAGATATCATAAAGAAAAACAATCAGAACTTCTGGAAATGAAAGACACTCTTAGGAATATACAAAATGCAGTAGAAAGTTTCAAAAATAGACTAGAACAAGTAGAAGAAGGAATGTCAGAGCTTGAAGACAAGGTGTTTGAATTAACCCAATCATAACCCAAAAATAATACAATGAAAAAAACAAAGTATCTAGGTAACAAGTAACATGATGAATAGAATAGCACCTCACATCTCAATATTAACATTGAATGTAAATTTATAGGCCCTATAACATTTATGCTTTCAGGAGGTTCTATTTTGGTGTATCTCAAACTTTTGTTTCAAGATTTAGAACTTCTTTTAGCATTTCTTGTAGTGCGGGTTTGACATCATTTGTTTGTCTGAAAAAGACTTTATCTCTGCTCATTTATGAAGCTTAGTTTTGCTGGATACAAAATTCTTGATGAAAATTATTTTGTTTAATGAGGCTAAAGATAAGACCCTAATCCCTTCTGGCTTATAAGGTTTCTGCTGAGGAATCTGTTGTTACTCTGACAGGTTTTCCAGTATAGATTATCTGATGCTTTTGTCTCACAATTATTAAAATTTTTTCCTTTGTCCTAACTTTAAATAAACTGATGACTATGTGCCATGGTGATATTTTTCCAATGAATTTCCTAGGTGTTCTTCGAGCTTTTTGTATTTACATGTCCAGATCTCTAGCAAGGTCAGGGAAGTTTTCCTCAATTATTCCCTCAAATAAGTTTTCCAAACTTTTAGACTTCTCTTCTCCCTCAGAAATACCAATTATTCTGAGAATGGCGTGAACCCGGGAGGCAGAGCTTTCAGTGAGCCGAGATCACACCACTGCACTCCAGCCTGGGCGACAGAGCGAGACTCCATCTCAAAAAAAAAAAAAACAAATACCAATTATTCTTAGGTTTGGCCATTTTACATAATCCCATATTTCTTGGAGACTTTGTTCAGTTTTTAAAATTCTTTTTTCTTTGTCTGATTGGGTTAATTCAAATGCCTTGTCTTCAAGCTCTGACTTTCCTTTTTCTTCTTGTTCTAGTCTATTTTTGAAACTTTCTACTGCATTTTATATATTCCTAAGAGTGTCTTTCATTTCCAGAAGTTCTGATTGTTTTTATGATATCTAGTTCTCTGGAAACATTTTCATTCATATCCTGGACTTTTTAAATTTATTTATGTTGGTTTTCACCTTTTTCTGGTACCTCGTTGAGTAGCTTAATAATCAACCTTCTGAAGTCTTTATCTGGCATTTCAGAGATTTGTTCTTGATTTGGATCCATTGCTGGAGAGCTAGTGTGATATTTTGGGGGGTGTTATAGAACTCTGTTTTGTCATATTAGCCAGATTTACTTTTCTGCTTCCTTCTCACTTGGGTAGACTATTTCTTCAAATTGTTCTTGAATTTATTTTTAATTGGACTGTGTTTTTTTAAGCATATGACTTTAATGCTTATAGTTTATTTTAGCCTAATTTGATTCTTGGTGCTTTTAAGAGTGAACACTCTATATGAATTCCTTAGTTACAGAGAGTCTTGTGCACTGGCTTTCCCAGATGCTGGTTGTAGTAGTTATATACTTGGTGCATGGGCAAGTTCACTGTCTCCTATAGGGTTGGAATGGCAGGGATCTCTTGAAGCTTATCTCATTCTCTCAAGGTATACAGTTTATTTATTTATTTACTTTTTCCCCAGTATTTTATTTACTGAGTTGATGATTCAGGCTTTAGACCAATTAGGGGAGGTGTCCTTGGGTAAGCACTGGTAGTAGCTAAGGCAGATGTGTAGATGTAATACCCAATGGTTGGCAGAGGTCCCAGGCTTGATGAAGGTGGCCGGGGGAGCTCTCAGTGAGATGTGCTGAGGTTTTATCAGGGTGAAGGGTGGGAGCTACCTCAGCTCCTCTGTCAGGCCCCTGTTGACCATTATTAAAGTGATAGATAATGAAGTAAAAATAATCAAATTATTATGATACAGAGGGTTTCTACCTATATGATACAGAGGGACAAAGATTCCAAATGAAACATGAATAAAGGAAATGTAAGAAATAAAATCAAAGCAAAAAGTTAAATTAATGAATATAGTTTAGATGAAGAAAATGAAACCTTACAGATACACCGAAATCATCTTTGATAACTTCTGCACGCTCATTCAACAGAAGCAACCACTCTCATGAAGCAGGTGTGGATCCTCTCCAGTCCATGCTTTATCCCTTTATTACATGTAAATATAGCCATAGAAAGTATAATGTTTTTAAATTTTTACATGAATTGCATCATTCTACACATTTCTGGAGTGATTTTTTTTATTTTGGCCAACAATTGTGTTTTAGTTGGTTATATATTTAGGACCACAAACATGTCTACTATGAAACTGGAATATTTGCCTTCTAATTAAACAAGAAATAACTATATAATAACTAACAGGATCAAAGTGTCCACACAGAACAGTAGCAGATGCAGGTGACTGCTGGACCTCTTCCCAGCCTCTAGCTCCCTAAGGTGGGCACCATATCCAGGGACAGAGTCCACACAGGAAGGATCCTGAAGCATCTGAGGACACAGCCACACTCTTGTCATGCCATTGCCCTTCTATTCTTTCCTTATAACATCATGTAAGAGGGCACAGCATGTTTCCCATGCTGGACCCTGCTCTGCTCACTCCACACACCTTCTGACACCCACCATGGACACTGTTCAGCAACTGGAAGAAAGAGGGCACCTGATGGACAGCAAAGGCTTTGATGAATAATAAATACATGAAGGAACTAGGAGTGGGACTAGCCCTCTGCGAAAAAAAGGGTGCTATGGCCAAAAAAGATTGTATTAGCTTTTTTGATGGCAAAAACCTCACCATAAAAATGGAGAGTACTTTAAAATCATACAGTTTTCTCACACTCAGGGGAGGGAAATTCAAAGAAACTACAGGTGACGGCAGAAAAACTCAGACTGCACCTTTACATATGGCACATTGGTTCGACATCAGAAGTGGAATGGAAAGGAAGGCAAAATAAGAAAATTGAAAGACAGGAAATTAGTGGTGGACTGCATCATAAACAATGTCACCTGTACTCAGATCTATGAAAAAGTAGAATAAAAACTCCATCATCACTTTGGACAAGAATTAGTTATCAGAATGAACAAGCTCAGTTCAATGGACAAATCCCCTTACTACTGCTTTTTTTGTCATTACTGTATTCAATTACCTTTATCAAAAACATTTTACATGCAACTATTTCAAAGTGTTGGTTTAATTAGAACCCTCTCCAGTCCATGCTTTATCCCTTTATTACATGTAAATATAGCCATAGAAATATGGCTTTGATTAATAAATAATTGTGTTTGTATAAAAGAAAGAGAGAAAAAGAAAAAAAGAGAAAGAAAGAAAAAAGAAAAGAAAGAGAAATCATGTAATAGAATGTTAGAATATTAACAAATATATCAGTTAGAACACAACCTCATGTGTCAGTACCCTAGGGTCCCTGAACACCATCCCTGACTCAGGCTTTCCAGCATGCTTGTATCACTCAGTGCAATCCCTGACTCTGATTTTAGTACATGTCTATTTATATATCTGTTTCCTTTCCCTTTCCCACTTGTACTCACGAGTGCCACGAGGACAATGTTAAATAGTAGTGGTGACAGTGGACTTATCTTCCTGTCTATAATGAAATGTCCTTTGTATTTTACCATTAAAGGACAAGGGAGAGATAGAACAATCACTCAACTTAGGTTAAAGAAGTATCCCTTTATACCTATCACATTAAATGTCTTTATCAGCAACAAAAAAAGAAAACTTCAGGCCACTATCCCTGATGAACATTGATGCAAAAAATACTGACAAATCGAATCTGGCAGCACATCCAGAAGCTTATCCACCACGATCAAGTTGGTTTCATCCCTGGGATGCAAGGTTTGTTCAACAGGCAAATCAATAAACGTAATTCATCACATAAACAGAACTAAAGACAAAAACCACAAGATTATCTCAATAGACACAGAAAAGGCCTAATTCAACATCTCTTCATGTTAAAAACTCTCAATAAACTAAGTATTGATGGAACGTATCTCAAAATAATGAGAGACATTTATGACAAACCCACAGCCAATATCATACTGAATAGGCAATAACTGGACGCATTCCCTTTGAAAACCAACACAAGACAAGAATGCCCTCTCTCACCACTCCTATTCAACATAGTATTGGAAGTTCTGGCCAGGGCAATCAGGCAAGAGAAAGAAATAAAGGGTATTCAGGATGGGCACGGTAGTTCATGTCTGTAATCTCAGCAGTTTGGGAGGCCATGGTGGGCAGATCACGTGAGCCCAGGAGTTCAAGACCAGCCTGAGCAACATGGCAAAACCGTGTCTCTCCCAAAAATGCAAAAATTAGCTGGGCGTGGTGGCACATGCCTGTAGTCCCAGCTACTCAGGAGGCTGAGGCAGGAGGATCACTTGAACCCAGGAGGCAGAGGTTGCAGTGAGCCAATATCATGCCACTGGACTCCAGCCTGGATGACAGAGTGAGACACTAAGAAAGAAAGAGAGTAAGAGAGAGAGAGAAAAGAAAGAAAGAGAGAGAGAGAGAAAGAAAAAGAAAGAAAGAAAGAGAAAAAAGGAAGGAAGGAAGGAAGGAAAGAAGGAAGGAAGGAGTCGAATAGGAAGAGAGAAAGTCAAACTCTCTCTTTTGCGGATGACATGATCATATATCAGAAAATCCCATTGTCTCGGCCCAAAAGCTCCTTAGGCTGATAAGCAACTTCAGCGAAGTCTCAGGATACAAAATCAACATGCAAAAATCACAAGCATTCCTATACACCAACAAAAGACAAGCAGAGAGCCAAATCATGACTTAACTCTCATTCACAATTGTTACAAAGAGAATAAAATACCTAGGAATACAGCTAACAAGGGATATGAAGGAACTCTTCACGAAGAATTACAAAGCACTGCTTTGTAATAAGCACTGCTTTGTAATAAGTATTTGCTTTGAAATAAGAGGGGACACAAACAAATTGAAAAACATCCTATGCCCATGGATACAAAGAATGAATATTGTGAAAATGGTCATACCGAACAAAGTAATTTATAGATTTAATGCTACTCCCATTCAACTACCATTGACATTCATCACAGGATTAGGAAAAACTACTTTAAAATTCATATAGAACCAGAAAAGAGCCCGTATAGCCAAGACAACCCTAAGCAAAGAGATGCTGGAGGCATCATGTTACCTGATTTCAAACTACACTACAAGGCAAACATGAACCTGATCACAACAGCATGGTACTGGTACCAAAACAGATACATAGACCAATGGAAGAGAATAGAGACCTCAGTAATAAGACCACACATCTATAACCATTTGATCTTCGACAAACCTGAGAAAAACAAGCAATGGGGAAAAGATTCCCTATTTAACAAACGGTGCTGGGGGTGCTGGCTAGCCATATGTAGAAAATGGAAACTGGACCCCTTTCTTACACCTTATATAAAAATCAACTCAAGATGGATTAAAGACTTAAATATCAAAACCCAAACTATAAAAACCCTAAAGAAAATCTAGGCAATACCATTCAGAACAGAGGCACAGGCAAGGATTTCATGATGAAAACACCAAAAGCAATTGCAACAAAAGTAAAAATTGATGAATGGAATCCAATTAAACTAATGAGCTTCTGCACAGCAAAAGAAACTATCATCAGAGTGAACAGACAACCTACAGAATGGGAGAAAATTTTTGCAATCGCTCCATTTGACAAAGGTCTAATATCCAGAATCTATAAGGAACTTAAGCAAATTTACAAGAAAAAAACAACTCCATCAAAAAGTGGGCAAAGGATATGAATAGATACTTTTCAAAAGAAGACATACATGGGGCCAACAAACATGCAAAAAAGCTCAGCATCACTGATCATTAGAGAAATGCAAATCAAAACCACAATGAGATACCATCTCACAACAGTTAGAATTGTGATTATTAAAAAGTCAAGAAACAACAGATGCTGGGGAGGCTGTGGAGAAATAGGAAGGCTTTTACACTGTTGGTGGGAGCGTAAATTAGTTCAACCATAGGGGAAGACAGTGTGGTGATTTCTTAAAGACCTAAAACCATAAACACCATTTGACCCAGCAATGCCATTACTGGGTATATACCCCAAGGAATATAAATCATTCTATTATCTGTGCACATTTATGTTCATTGCGGCGCTATTCACAATAGCAAAGACATGAAATCAACCAAAATGCCCATCAATTATAGACTGGATAAAGAAAATATGGCATATATACACAATGGAATACTATGCAGCCATAAAAAGGAATGAGATCATGTCCTTCGCAAGGACATGGATGGAGTTGAAAGCCATTATCCTCAGCAAATAACACAGGAAGAGAAAACCAAACACCGCATGTTCTCACCTGTAAGTGGGAGCTGAACAATGAGAACATATGAACACAGGGAGGGGAACAACACAAACTGAGGCTTGTCAGGGGAGGCAGGTAGAGGGAGAGCATCAGGAAAAATAGCTAATGCATGCTGGGCTTCATACCTAGGTGATGGGTTGATAGGTGCAGCAAACCACCATGGCACATGTTTACCTATGTAACGAACCTGCACGTCCTGCATATGTATTCCAGAACTTAAAATAAAATTAAATTAAAAGCAAATGATGCTGAATTTTAAGTGCTTTTTCCAAATCTATGGAGATAATATAAATTTTTCTCCTTGTCCCCAGTAGCTCACCATGATCAAATAGCGGTTAGTACTCTGCATCGCAATCTATTAATGTGATTAATCCTATTAATGGAGTTTCTAATATTGAACCATAAGGGGTACGCTTTTAATGTGCTATTAGACACTTTTTTTAAAGGCCATTAGTCCATACTTTCTTTTGATTCTGTCACCTTTGAAGTTTTAGTATTGTTATTATATCAACTTAATGGACAAACATGGCAGCTCTCATTCCGTGCCCTCCAGAACAACAGAAGTAAGATTGGCATTTTCTGTTCATTAAGGGTTTGGCTGAATTCACATGTGAATCTGAGGCTTAGGAACTCAGGGAGAATAGTCGTTTCTCAAACTTTCTCAAATTCTATTTTTCTTCTTCTTGAGACAGGGTCTCACTCTATCATGGGTTGGGGTGCAACGGCATGATTACAACTCACTGCAGCCTCCACCTCCTGGGCTCAATTGATCCACCTGCCTCAGCTTCCCCAGTAGCTAGGACTACAGGCATGTGCCAGGCTGGCAATTTTTTTCATTTTTTGGAGAAAAGAGTTTCACTATGTTGCCTAGGCTGGTCTTGAATTCCTGGATTCAAATGATCCTCCCACCTCAGCCTCCCAAAGTGCTGGGATTACAGGTGCGAGCCACAATGGCCAGCCTCAAATTCTTTTATGTCAAGCCATCTGTTTAGATTTTCTATTTTGTGTCAATGATGTAAAAAAATCATTAAATTTATACAGCATTTGAAGTTCATTGGCATACAGTTAAGCAAAATACTCTCCTTTTTAAAAATTAATTAGGTAAGATTGTGAGTTAGCTATTTATTACACTTTGTAAAGATCAGCCTGTTGATTTGTTTGTTCATTTAATTATTTATTTACGCTAGATTTTTTATTTTCAACTCTCTTCTTTTTCTGCTTTTATTATAAATAATTCCTTTGCTCCGCTTTCTTTGGGTTTGTTGTTTTTCTAACTTACTAAGTTGAATGCTTAATTCATTTATTTATATTCCTATAATTAGTATAAGAATTTTAAACTATGAAATTTTCCTTTGATTACTGCTTTAACTGTATCCTGCAGTGTTATACCATTTCCATATATTCCCGTATGCAGACATAATTTTATAAAATAAATGTAATAATATGCAAGCTTTGTTAATATACCTTTTTCCTTCTCCTTTTGCTTGGTCTCCCTTTCTCCCTCCACTCCTCTCCCCTCCACTATAATCACCATACCCTAACTGCCACGGTAATCTTTGCTAACGACATAATGTGTTGGGATACATTTTTCCTATAGTGAAAAATCTTTCTCCGTCATTCTGCTTTAGGTGTGTATTATTTTATAGCATATAGTTGAATTTTCTTTTTTTATGTCACTATTGTATTTTCCCAATATTTAAATTGCAAAAATGTTTGAAAATACAGTAAACCTGAAAGAATTTTACACTAAGCACCTCTATAACCACCTCCTGAATAATTAACGTTGTACTATTGTTACCAGTGGAGGGTGTCCAGGTACTTGGCGTTTTGAACAAAGAATTGGACAAAATGCACAAAGCAAGGAAAAAATGAAGCAACAAAAGCAGAGATTTATTGAAAACAAAAGTACACTCCACAGGCTGGGAGTGGGCTTGAAGATAGGGGCTCAAAAGCCCTTTTACAGAATTTTCTGGGGCTTAAATACCCTCTAGAGGTTTCCCATTGGTTACTTGGTGTGCGCCCTATGGAAATGAAGATGGCACACAACTACTTCAGAGCCTGAAGTGAAGTTACAAAGGTTACACCCTACGCAAGCATGTGATTGGTTGTGGAAAGCAACCAAACAGAGGCTAAAGTGAAGTTACAAAGTTATACTTCTATGCAAACGAAGACTGGGCCTGCAGTCAGTCTGATTGGTTGTGGAAAGCAACCAATCAGAGGCTGAAGTGAAGTTACAAAGTTACACAAACTTACAAAGTTACACTCCTATGCAAATGTCCGATTGATTGCAGAAAGCAACCAATCACAGATATTTTCAATTTTCCATCTGCCACGCAGAAAAAGGCGGGGAGGGGTTGCAAAGGGAGTAGTCTCCATTTTTTTTGTTACTTATGTGTGGAAAGTTGGGGTTTTCCTTTTGATTTAGTTCTAGGAAGTCAGCGTGAATTGGCCTTAGGTTCCTTGCCTCCAGACTCCATTTTTCTGCCTCATTACGCTTGTGGCGTCACATCTGTCCATCTGTCTATCCCTCTATACATCCCTCTTATTTTTTTATGCATTTCAAAGTAAATTGCAGATATCAGTGCACTTTATCCTTTAGTGCTTTGGCAAGCATATCATGGATGAGAGTTTAATATTTGTTTATAGTTTTTTCTCTTAAGAAAAATTTATATATACAATCAAAGGTATAAATCTTCAGTGTAAAACTCAATGTGTTTTGACAAATGTATTTACCTGTGTAATGCAAATTCCTATTCAAGATGTAGGATATAACTACCAGAGTTCTCTCATGGTCCTTCCCAAGCAATCCAACCTTTCCTCCTCAGTGCAACTACTTTCTGAACTTTTCCACCATATTTTAATTTTCTTGTTCTAGAATGCCATATACTTTTTTTTCTTGTTTTTGAGATGGAGTCTCGCTCTGTCTCCCAGGCTGGAGTGCAGTGGCACGATCTCGGCTCACTGCAAGCTCCGCCTCCCGGGTTCATGCCATTCTCCTGCCCCAGCCTCCCGAATAGCTGGGACTACAGGCGCCCGCCACCACGCCTGGCTGATTTTTTGTATTTTCAGTAGAGACGGGATTTCACTGCGTTAGCCAGAATGGTCTTGATCTCCTGACCTCGTGATCCGCCTACCTTGGCCTCCCAAAGTGCTGGAATTACAGGCGTGAGCCACCGCGCCTGGTCATTCAGTATATTTTTGAGACTTATTCATGCTGCTTAACTATTTATTTTAGAGATGTAGGGGCAGTGGCTCTTCACAGGCATGATCATTGCACACTGCAGCCTCGAGCTCCTGGGCTTAAGCGATCTTCCTGCCTCAACCTCCTAAGTAGCTGTGACTACATGTGCACACCACTGAACCTGGCTTGTTAACTTTTTAAATGGTTGAGTAGAATCCCACTGTATCATATACCATCATCTGTTTATCCATTCCCTAGTGGATGGATTTTAGCTATTAAAAACAAAACTGTTGTAAAAATTCTTATATAAGCCTTTTTGTAATATGTTTTCATTTCTCTTGAGAAAGTAGCTAGAAATTGAATTGACTCACAGGAAAAGTGTATACTAGTTATAAAAAAAAATGCTAAAACTTTTTTCTAGACTGGTCATACCATTTTACACTGCTACCAGTGTATAAGACTTCCAGTTGATCCACATGCTTACCAAGATTTGGTATTGTCAGTCTTTTTAACTTTAATCATCTCAGTTAGTATGTAATGGTAGCTTACTATGGTTTTCATTTTCATTTCCCTGACTTCTCATGGTGTTGAGTACTTCTAATGTGACACGTGGCATGTCCTAATCATTTGCCCATTTTTAAAAATTGGGTTATTAATGAGCCTTACTATTTTTAATATTTAAAAAACAGTGGGAAGAATGGGATAAATTGTATGCATGGTAGTTCCAACATCTCAACAAGAATCGCAAGTTGTATGCCAATCATTTTGTTTCATTAATATACTTTATTTGGTTTAAAGATTATGAGATAGAAAGAGCCTTAAAGGAACAGGAAGCATATGAAAAGACAAGTTAAATGATGAGCAAAGTGACTTAAAATAGCTATTCTCTAATGGTGAAAATTTTACGTGAACATATTTAAATAAGAATGGCAAAAACAAAGCTCCATTAGTAAGCAAAATATAAATAAGCAACTTTTTTAAGTATTTGTTTCTTGACCCTAGTTCTGTCCCTTGACATTCATAATTGAAAAAATTTTCCTGAAAGGCATTCATACTTTCATAAATTGTTTAAGGCAAATAAATATGACAGTTCTTTCGGCTGGAACCACCATCTTCCAGTAATTCACCAAAATGATGAAGACAAAGGCAAAGAGGAGAGGCACCCGATATATGGTCTCTAAGCGTTTTAGAAAACAAGAGTTTTTCCTTTGGCCATGTATATGCAAATCTATAAGAAAGGTGATATTGTAGACATCAAGGGAATGGGTACTGCTCAAAAAGGAATGCCCCACAAGTGTTATCATGGCAAAACTGGAAGAGTCTACAATGTTACCTGGCATGCTGTTGGCCTTATTGTAAACAAACAAGTTAAAGGCAAGATTCTTGCCAAGAGAATTAATGCGCTTATTGAACACATTAAGCACTCTAAGAGCCAAGATAGTTTCCTGAAACGCGTGAAGGAAAATAATCAGAAAAAGAAGCCAAAGACAAAGGTACCTGGATTCAACTGAAGCGCCAGTCTGCTCCACTCAGCGAAGTACACTGTGAGAACCGATGGGAAGGAGCCTGAGCTGCTGGAACTTATTCCCTATGAATTCATGGCATAGTAGGTGTTAAAAAAATAAAAGACCTCTGGACTGTAAAAATGTTTCTACTCATTGAGTAGAAGTGTGGTGTCCTCTTCCCGAAAGAAATATTTAAAGTAAATTTTAATTGTCTTTATCCATTGAGTAATGTCTTTACTATTCCAATTTAATGTATTTCTTGCTCAAAGAGGTGAGGTGGCTTACTGTGGAACATATTACTCAATTGGTTAGAAAACAGCCAGATATTATTTATGAAATATTTGTACTGGTTTGAAGATAGTCCCACTAAATCATCATGGAAGAAATAAAATAATTTACAAAAATTTTTTAAAAATTAAATTTTTAAAAAAAATAAAGCTGACAGTTGAAAATTTTGTTTTCTAAACCAGTGGCTCTCAGCACCTATATCCAGTTTCCACCCTGCAAGCTAAATCCAGTTCCTAGCCTGTTTTTTGTCCAGCTAGCAAACTAAGAATGGCTTTTTCAATTTTAGGTTTTTCTTTTTGTTTTGTTTTTTTTTTAAGAAATACGGTACAGAGACCAAATGTGGCCCACAACGCCAAAAGTCTTTACTGTGTGGCCCTTTACGGAAAATGTATGCTGACCCCTGATTTAACCCATCATTGTTCTTTACTGACAGTCCTGTAACTTCAAGAGATTAAGGTGTATAGAGCTGTTCAACCTCACTTCAAATGACACTTCTTAGTCTGTTTTCTGGGTTAATTTTATGACTTCTTCCATGCTGCCTACAAAAACTACCCCCAGCCAGTGCTCCCTGCAACAACACATGGTTCTTTCTACTTGACTGTTTTTCCATTCTTGTGAGCTGTAGGCTTAAAAGTTATGTAACCAAGCTTCTTAAAAGATGGATTTTGAATGAAGCTACAAACAGATCTTACATGGTTAAATTTTGAATTTTAGTGCCTCAACACTCGGCAATCTCAGGTTATCTTTTTTTTTAAGCTACGTTAACCCTGATGTCTAGAAATCACTTAATTGGGCAACTTCAACCAACATACCATGTATACATGTAATATAAATCTAGACTCATTTTTAGCTAAGGCTTGCAATTTCTGTATTTTGCCTATTTATGCATTGTAAAATAGGTTATTTTCTATCCTCTCCCCTCATAAAAATAGCTTAGTCCACATTGACCTAAAATGTTCTTCTCTTCAGAAAATCACTTTCCATAACTGTCAGCTTTTGAAGTTTCTGAACTTCAGAATTTCTCAGTGGAACTGGATTATCTTTCAGTTTTTCTGCTTTATTTGTTGACCTAACAGGCAAAGTTAAAATGTTGGGGTAATACTATTCAAATCTATTTATTTCCAATGAAAAAAAAATCAGCTTTCTTATTGTTTGCTTTAAAATATATACAAAGTTCTGTGAGAAGTCAAGAGATTATTCTGTTAGGATCGATTGAGAACAGTCTCACACAGGTGACACTTGGAAGGCTTAGGGATATATAGTTTACCTGATGTTAAGGTAAAGAAGCAAATTAAGAGAGCTAAAGAACCTGTGGGGTGGATATTTGAGATATGGCTTTCCAGTCCTCCAAATTTCCTGATATCACACCTGATTTGCTCTTAGGCCATGTGGCTTGGTTGGGGCTGATCCTATCAGTGTAGAAAAAGAGCTAACAAAGCAGACCTTGAGCCTGCTGCCCTTAGAATGCTTCTGAGGTTGATGCCTGGCTGGTATCTGGGAACTTAAATTTTGGGAAGCTTCCCACCATTCCCTCACTGAGTGGCTCTCTGTGCCATGTTTGTACAAACAACGTGGTTTATGCTAAACACCTGCTTTCCTCCTGAGTCTGGAATTTGGGGATGTGTTCAGGTAGAGGAGCCCATGTGAATAAGACCCCAGTAAAAACCTAGGGAACTGACTCTCTAAATGAACTTCACTGGTAGTCAAAGGAAATCACAAAATAGACAAGTAGAAGTCAGATTAACAGGTTCATTAAGAAGTTAATATATTTCTCATTGAAAGGTAAGAAGAATTAAGGAAGATGGGGCATTTGATAATATTAAATATTACAGAAGGGTTAAGGAGCATGACTGATAAGTTGCCAAATTTGGATATGAGTAGTTCTCTGACCATAAATATTGACAGAGATGTGTAAGAAAATTAAAACATAACTTCCTTAAGTTTTAAGTATCTAGGGTATATAATCAACACTTTCATTAATATACAGTGGCATTTATTTTAATATGCTATTTCTATTGGACACGAAAGCTTTCCCAAGCTCAATATAAACAACTATTTAGTACAATAATAGACCAACATTAAAAATACTGCCATTGACTATTCACAATAGCAAAGACTTGGAACCAACCCAAATGTCCAACAATTAACTCAATTAATTCAATTGGTATAACAACAGATCACTCTGAAATAAATTTAAAAATACTATACAGTTCATGAGACAAAGGCATAATTGCCAAAAATATAATTTCTTCCTATGCCTTCTACTTATTCTGTTCACTCATTAAAATAAGTAACATATTGAGGTCTTCTACTGTTCCATCACTGTTCTAAGTATCACAGTTCCAAATTTCTGAAACCTTCTCCCCTGATCCCTGAATTTGCATTCTTGTTTCCTCAAATAAAGTGTGCTGAGTTCTACAAAGCCCCATCAGGATTGAAAGACATATTCCTCAGCATGATACTGGTACAAAACAGACATACTGAGCAACGTAACTAAACAGGGAACTCAGAAATAAGACTGCCCACCTACAGCCATCTGATCTTTATGAAACTTGACAAAAACAAGCAATGGAAAAAAGATTCTCTAATAGGTTTAATAAATGATGCTGTGAGTGCTGGTTAGCCACATGCAGAAAATTGAAACTGGACCCCTTTCTTACACCTTATACAAAAACCAACTCAAGATGGGTTACAGACTTAAATTTAAAAACCCAAAACTATAAACCCTAGAAAAAAATCTAGGCAATAACATTCAGGGCATAGGCATGGGCAAAGATTTCATGACAAAAACGCCAAAAGCAATTGCAATAAAAGCAAAAACTGGCTAATGAGATCTAATTAAACTAAAGAGCATCTGCACAGCAAAAGAAACTATCATCAGAGTGAACAGACAACCTACAGAATGGGAGAAAATTTTTGCAATCTATCCATCTGACAAAGGTCTAATACCCATAGTCTACAAGGAACCTAAACAAATGTACAGGAAAAAAACAACCCAACTAAAAAGTGGGCAAAGGACATGAACAGATACTTCTCAAAAGAAGACACACATGTGGCCAACAAACATGAAAAAAAGTTCAACATCACTGATCATTAGAGAAATCAAATCACAATGAGATACCATCTCATGCCAGTCAGAATGGCGATTACTAAAAAATCAAGAAACAATAGATGCTGGTGAGGCTGTGAATAAATAAGAACACTTTTACACTGCTGGGGGGAGTATAAATTAATTCAACCATAGTGGAAGACAGTGTGGCAATTCCTCAAAGACTTAGAGGCAGAAATACCATTTGACCTAGCAATCCCATTACTGGGTATTTACCCAGAGGAATATAAATTATTCTATTATAAAGGTACACGCATATAAATGTTCACTGCAGCACTATTCACAACAGCAAAGACATGGAATCAACCCAAATGCCCATCAATGATAGACTGGATAAAGAAAATGTGGTAGCTATATACAATGGAATACTCTGCAGCCATAAAAAGGAGTGAGATCATATCCTTTGCAGGGACATGGATGGAGCTGGAGGCCATTATCCTTAGCAAACTAACGCAGGAACAGAAAACCAAACACCGCATGTTTTCACTTATAAGAGGGAACTGAATGATGAAAACACATGGACACATGGTGGGGAACAACTCACACTGGGGCCTGTTGCAGGGGTGAAGGTGGGAGGAGGGAGAGCATCAGCATGAATAGCTAATGGATGCTGGGCTTAATATCTAGGTGATGGTATGAGCTGTGCAGCAAACCACCACGGCACATGTTTACCTATGTAACAAACCAGTACATCCTGCACATGTACCCCTGAACTTAAAAGTTTTAAGGAAAAAAAAAAAGACATATTCCCCCAACTGCTGGGCAAGCCAACTCCAGGAATTGCTCTGCCGCTTTGACCAAGGTCATGGCCCCCTTGCAGGGCAGGTCATAACCAATGACTACTTGCCTCAGGACAATTCTGAATGGCCATCCCAGCTTCAGAGCTCCCCAAAAGATCAGTCCAGGCCTTATGGTAACTGCAACCACAGCCTAATGTCTCCATCTGCCCAGCTCTGCTTCCTTTGCTTCTCCTGGCAGGTGCTGCTCATAAAAGCACCTCCCAAATCAACTTCCTGCACATGAATCTCCATCTGAAAGTCAGCTTCCTGGGAAACTCAGCCCATACTAGCCACCCACACATATTCTCCTCAGCTGTGTTACCTGATTGAAATTTACTCCATCTCTGAGCTTAGCATACCACCTGCTGCTGGTCACCTCTGCAGCCAACTCATCCAAAGAGCATCTCCCAGTGCACTTCATCAGAGCTAAATGCTGAGGAAAACAGTGATGTGGCAGTACTTGCTAGTGACTATCTTTCTGTTTTGAGACTGCTGATTCTTCAAGAAAGCTACACTTGGTAGATTTATAAACATTATATGTAGTAAAGAATTTCCAGCAAAGGGGAGGGGAGAAGAAAGAAAACTATTTGGGAGCACAAAGACTTTTCTCTTGCTTTAAAAGAGAATACTATCAGAACAAAGTATGAAAAATGAGTGCATACATGGAAATTCACATAAAAACTGGGGTATCAATAAATAAAAAAACAGAAAATCACAAAAAAACAAAGGTATCAAAGGCCTTTATTGATTTAATTTTCCTTTCAACTTATCAATGCTATCACAAATTCTAAGGAAACAGGACTTGGGCAAAATTTTTTATTATGAAGATACAGATCTAAGAACAGAAGGATAATTATGTGCTAGCTTATATATAGTTCCTTGTAAAAATAATGATACATGAAAAATTAGTAGAAAATGAAAATCTGCAGTTATCTGATATCTGAAAATGTTAAGCAATTTCCCCTGCATCTTAGTTCTAATCACTTTTGCAGAATAATCAAGCATATTTGGGTGAAGAGAGTATTTAATGATTCCATTTTTATTAATAGTGTAGTGTGCCCTTCAGAGCTTGGCGTAGTCTTTAAGAATCATCTGAAGTTTCTGGCTCAGCATGATGTTCCCTCTGGCCTTCAGCCTGCCACTAAAGAATGCCTGCAAGGAGAGGAGGGAAAAAGAGTGCCAACTGTTACCATGTTATAGTTTATTTCTTTTTTTTTTTTTTAAGATTATTCAGACTGAATACAATTGAGCTAATAATTCTGGACAACAAAGGCAACCTTTATTTAGCAATGACAATTTAATAACTACAGATAGCACATTTTTTTAGACATCTAAAAAAAAGAAAAATCATTCCTGTGTATTTTAGAAAACTATACAATAATTTATCTGAACTCATGGATCTGGGAGTTCTGTTTCAACCTACGTTTCTGGCTTTACTTTATGTTCTTACAATTTGAGACCATATTAATAAAAGGCTACACTGTATTCCTAATAAAAATATTCAATTCAGAACTTCTAAAAGCAGATTTAAAATATTTACTACAGTTTCATGAACTAGAAAGCCACGAAATGACAAATTAGAGAATATAACACAATGTTGAATAGATCACAGCTGTAGCATCAGAATGCCTGAGTTAAAATCCAGGCTGTGCCCCTTAATAGCAAGGTGAGCTTGAGAAAATGCTTAGATACGTGGCCTCTGTGAGTTTCAATCTCCTCATCTATAAAAGGCATAACAACAGTCCCTAAATAACACAACTCTGTTGTGCGTGTTAAATAAAGTAATGTGTAGAGTGCTTAGCTTAGTAGTTTGACATGTGATAAGAGAGTATTAATTCATCATTACCAAGCAAAAGCTGGTGTGTTAAAAACGAAGGGTTCCTGTAGCAGTTTTGTATCTAACCTGATACAGAAACTGGTGCAAGTTCCTTAAGTTCTCCTTCAGTGTAAATTCCCTATCAGTAAAATAAAAATAATCAATCATAGTTTTTATAGCTTACATAAAATATGAAGTGAAAAAGCCTCTAGATTTCTAGCTAAATGGAAAAAATAGTGATACCTACATACACTGAGCATTACAAAGCAGCTCCACAAATATAATCTCATTTAAGAATTACAGCTGTCAATTTGAAGTGGGCACATCAGCAGTTCTTACCCCAGTTGACAGATGAGAAACTGAATTTCAGAGAGCTTATTAAATAACCTGCTCAAGTCTACAGAGCCAGCAAGAAGTAGGGCCAGGGCTTAAACTCAGGTGTTCTTTGCTCAGCAATGCTTGTTAACAATACTTGTTAACGAGCAGCACTTAGTCTCAGAAGCAAACCCTCGTGAACTGGAGAAAAGGCAACAACTTTTTATTCCAGAAATAGTCAGAGAGAGCTCATTCAGTCACAATCAAATGCATTCAAACAGGAGACCAGAATTTCAAAACTAAGATTTCTTTCACTATGCAGTTACAAAAAACAAACAAACAAAACGATGGTCTGCAACTCATGCAGGGAAGGAGTCAGTACTTAGGCCAGCCTGCTATGTACTAAACTCTGAAAGAGATTTACAACCTAAAACAAGAACACCTAATTACTAGAAGTAAAAATATCAATTTTGGACATTTTTGAGCAGAAGAATTTTGTACATAAATCTTTCCTCCTATCTATTTTCTTATTTCTTAAAGCCCTTAACCATACGTCCATATTGCCAGTTTCCAAACTCTGCACTGCCATGCACCGGACATCACAGCAAACTCTCTCAGGGACACTTTCCCAATACTGTTAATTTGGGAGGGAAATACAGTCATACTGGTTGAACACAAAAAACTAATTGTTTTGAACTACTTCATAAATGAAACTGTTAGGTATATGGTTTGGCCTAGGAGTGCCATGCAAAAAGTAGTAAGACTATAAACTGCCATAAAGGAAGAAGGTCTGGAAGCACTGTGCTTTCCAGAAAGGCTATACCAACTACTGATTGATTGACACAGGGTCTTGCTCTGTCACCCAGGCTACAGCTGCATGATCACACTCACTGCAGCCTAAGCCTCCTGGGCTCAAGTGATCCTCCCAACTCAGCCTCTCAAGTAGCTGGGACTACAGGTGTGTGCCACCACACCAGGCTAATTTTTTTTTTTTTTTTTTTTTGGTAGAGACAGGGTCTCACTGTCTCACCCAGGCTCAAACTCCTGGACTCAAGCAATCCTCCTGCCTTGGCCTCCCAAAGTGCTGGAACTACAGGCACGAGACATTGTCCCTGGCCTATACCAATTTTATATTCCCTCCAGTTGTGTGTAAATTATCTTATCCCAACCTTAAAAATACTATTTTCTTACACTTTGAAAATATGAGGCAAAAATAACATGCTTTAATTTGTATTTTTGGATACTGGGAAAAATTTTTTTCTTTTGTATGTTAGTCATTTCTATTTATTTCATTAATTATTGTTCCATACCTTTTGTCCACTTCTTCTTTTTTATTATTATTATTATACTTTAAGTTCTAGGGTACATGTGCACAATGCGCAGGTTTGTTACATATGTATACATGTGCCATGTTGGTGTGCTGCACCCGTTAACTCGTCATTTAGCATTAGGTATATCTCCTAATGCTATCCCTCCCCCCCTCCCCCAACCCCATGACAGGTCCCCGTGTGTGATGTTCCCCACCCTCTGTCCAGGTGTTCTCATTGTTCAATTCCCACATGTGAGAACATGCGGTGTTTGGTTTTTTGTCCTTGCAATAGTTTGCTGAGAATGATGGTTTCCAGCTTCATCCATGTCCCTACAAAGGACATGAACTCATCCATTTCTATGGCTGCATAGTATTCTATGGTGTGTATGTGCCACATTTTCTTAATGCAGTCTATCATTGATGGACTTTTGTCCACTTTTTCTATTGAGGTTGTAGTGCTTTCCAGAATTTTTAGAATGATACTCTGTATCATCATTTTATTTTTTTCCCTCGATTTATGGAAATATACTATAGAGTCTGACATGCAGAAGTTTCTAATTTCTATACAGCCTAAACTTCTGACATTGAACTTTCATTCCTTCTATATTTGCTTTAATCTACCTGAGTATGAATGTCTACAGTATACTAGGCAATATTCTAGGCTAGGCTGAATATCTGTCCCTGTTCTCACAGAGCTAACATTAAACTAGGGGAGTCAAAAAGTAAAATGTAAACAAATAATTAAAGCCTGTTATAAATACAATGAAGGAGAAAACAGGATGTTATCAGAATATAACAGGAAGAAACTACTTTGGATGAAATGAAGCCAGCCATGCAAACAGCTAGGAGGAGAAATTCCAGAAAAGGCAAATGCATAGACATTGAAGGAGTAAAAGCTGATGGGAAGGAACTGAAAGGAAGGACAAAATAACAACAAAATAACTAGAATTAGCATTACAGGTGATGGGGCAAGTGGCATGGGATGAAGCCTGAAAAAGGAGCAAGGGAAAGAAACATCATACACGACATGGTAACAGCTAACTTGGATTTTATACACGTGCAAAAGGAAATGCTGGAGATTTTTTATCAAATGGGATGATAAATATGAACCAGTAATTAATGAAAGTAGTAGAAATGACTAACATACATAAATAATCTAATCTGATTTACATTTTTAAAGGATTACTCTGGCTCCTGGGTGGAGAACAACAGACTGAATGGGAGAGACAAGACTGGAAGAAGTAAGACAGGTGAGAGATGACAGAGGCTAGGATCACAGTGATATCCCTAGAGAGGAAGAGAAGATGAATTCAAGATATATTTTGGAGAAAGATCAGACAGAAGTAAGGAAGGAAAGGATACAGAAGGGCAGAAGGAATCTAAGATAATTTTTACATTTCTGGGCTTATTAATTTGGGTAAATAGATGATGGTGCCACTAATTAAGAAGGAAGAGACTGGGGGAGAAAAATAAATCACAAGTTCTATTTTGGTCACAGTAAGTTTGACATGCCAGAAAGTTTCCCATCAGAGTGGTCAAGTAGAGGGATGGTTCTCTCACTGTGGAGCTCAGAGAAGACTAAGTGGAGCCAAGTTCCTCGCACGGCAGGCCTTTGTATTAGTTGTTTCCTTAGTCTGATGACTCATTCTGATACTCTGTTCAAATCTCTGTCAGGCATTTCAGGTACCTTAGAAAACCCCAGAAGGTATTTTAAACAACCTATTTAAAATAGTTCCCCTGTCCTGTCACATTCTAACTCAAGGGTTGGCAAACAACAGCTGGAGAACCAGATCTAGTGGCTGTGTGTTTCTGTAAATAAAGTTTTATTGGAACACAGTCACACTCCATTGTTTACATATTCTCTATGGCTACTTTAAGGCTACAATGGCAAAGCTGAAGAGCTGCAACAGAGACCATCTTGCCCACAAAGCCTAAAATATTTACTGTGTAACCCTTTACAGAAAAAGTTTGCCAGTCATTGCTCTAACACTATACTCAGGCTTACTCTTCTCTAACTTGAGATTTTATTTCTTTTGCATTAGTACACTAAAAGAAGCTCCATACAGTAGGGTTTTGTCTTAATTCAGCCAATACCTACAACCTGAATAGGTACTAAATAAATTCCTGGAAAGAAATTAACAGAGGGTTCACTGCATTGCCAAGCACTGTACTAAGCTCTTCATACATATTATTGGGTTTAGTTCTTATAATAAGCCTTGTAAACATTAAAATTATTAAACTCATTTTACAAATGAGAAAATTAAGGTTTTTGGATGAAGTGACAGGGGCAAGATTCAAATTTAGATTTTATCTGATGCCAAAGACTACTTTTTACCTACTATACTACTTTACAATTCCTTTTAGTCTTTCTATACAGGAAAATCATATATTTCCTCATTTATTCAAATTACTCCTATGTGAAAGCTATTTTTAAATAACTGCACTCAGCCATTTGTTTGAACTCCTTCATTCTAAGAATCAATAAGTTAGTTCCCTTGGAATTTCTAGCTACATAATCACAAATTGAAAATAACAAATTTTTCTCCTCCATTCTAATTGCCACATCAATTACTTTAATTTTGTATATTTGTGGATTGGTCAAAAGTTTCATAATAATATTAACTAAATAATCGTCACAGAAGGCACTCTTCTGTTAATCATGATTTTCCACTGAAATGCCTCTAAGATTCACCCTAAGTAAGACATGGGCTATTAGGTTAAAATATCCTTCTAGTTCCAATATTCAATGATTTCTTAATCTTATTTATTGGGAATGTCTAATTTTATGTAGTACCTACTAATGTCATATGGTTTTTCACCTTTGAACACATAACAGAATATATTAAAAAATCTAGATGTGGGTTCAGTCTTAAAAAGTGTCAGGTGAAACTCCATTAAAAAAGAAATATATGACCTGTCAACCAGAGTATCAGTAGCAACTGTGTCATCTTCAGAGTTGTAAGAAACCTGGCTTATAAATCAGAATTTGGGCATCAGCTTAAAAACTGCAATTGTCAAAAGAGGAAACAATAAAACAATGAATAAATGAACATTTGAGAACATTACCTTCTGAGGGTCAAGCTTGCCCAGGACCACCTCCATGAAATCTTCATCTGAAAGTATGATTGTTGTATCAGCAGCACCTTTTGCAGGGCCTTGGTACACTTTTCCAGAACCACTTTTCAGGTCAATAGCTGGGAAAAATAGGAAGAAACCAATGTGTATCTTTTTCTCTCCAACAAAATGAGGGTAAAATAAACCAAGTAAAATGCAGACATTTCTATAGTTTCCATGTTAATGTGGCACTTATTCTACACATATTCTATCTATCAATTATACATTATCTGTCATTTAGAAAAAAAGCAAAATATAGAAATACAAGAATACAGAAATTTGAGGTAAAGAAGTGGAACTTCCAGTTCTGTAGTGGCTCAGGTCATGGTCTGCAACCACCACCATCACCTTGAGTTTATAGACACCTATAAGATCACAGCTAATCTTATTTCAGAAGTGAAGAAAGAGATTGTATTCATTTTCTCTTAGTGGCAGAATTCATTACAGGCATCTTACTGTTGATTTTTAGCTCTGTATTTATTAATAACTAAGCTTCTGAAAGAGTCCATAACAATTTCAGTCATACTTCACAGCATTTAATGAGGGAGGGGTGAGGTAACAGATGAGAATATGGCATTTGAAAACTTGGAGACCCCTGAGGATCTTATTAAGATATATACTTTACAAATCACAAAGGGTCACTACAGGAGAAAGAAGGAACTGTTTTTGTTTATGCTACCTTCCCTTAATATTAGGTCTTTGCTGGCACAAACATGTTTTGTCTTTGTATCCCCTATACTTCCTTGAAGAGAAAATACTTAGGAATTATTTGATAAATGGAAAAGCACATGAAAGAAGGATGTCTACCCCCAAAAATATATATATATATATAAAATATATATTAGTAATAACAAACACAAAGAAAAAAACCCAGGTTAAAAATTAAGTTTTTAAAAATCACACCAAGAGCATATTACTTTTGTGTTATTCCTGCCAAAAGTTCATAAACTAAAACTAAACATGAAAAAAGCATCAACTAAAAACAAACCAAGAAACAAGCTATAAAATAATTGGTCTCCAGCCTTCAAATATCTCAAAATTGGGAAAAGCAAAGACTGAGGAACTCATCCAGATTAAAGCAGACTAGAGACCTAAGAACCAAATGTAATGTATAATCCCAGATGGGACCCTGATCAATTCTTTTTCTTTCTTCATTTTAGTAATGAATAATAATTATTATTGTTTTGCTATAAAGGACATTATTGGGACAATTGAAATATTAACAAGATCTGCAGATTAGCTAACATACTGCATCAATGTTAATCTCCTGATATTGATCTTTGTTGTGTGAATAGATAAGAGAATGTCTTTGTTCTTAGAAAATGCTAGTAGCATAGTCTCTTAGGCATAAAGGGACATCATGTCTGCAAGTTACTCTTAAATGCCTCAGAAGAAAAAAACACATATGATGGAAAAAAATAGTAAAGAAGATGAGATACAAATTTTAACAATTTGAGGAAACTGGATGAAAGACAAAAGTTCTCTAGTATTTTTGCAACTTTTCTATAATTCTCAAATTGTTTCAAACAAAAAAAAGTACAAAATGATGTTATTAAGATGAATAACACAGAGAAGATGGAAAGTCAGAAATTGTTTTAAATGATTTTGTGCACTTGTGTGTACTTTTGAAGATAAATGTACATGAGCACGCAGTCAGGAGCTGCTGTTAGTAAGAGAAGAAACAGTCACTGTTGCTTTGGGAATAGAGAGTAACCCTGAGGCAGATACACCTCCAACAAACAGGCCCCCATTCCTAACTGGAGAGCATATTCCTTTTCAAGGAAAATCTTTCAAGACTTTTCTATAAATGCATGAGACACTCATTTCAATCCAAATCCAATGTTTGGAACCAACACCCTTGAGATTTAGTTTATATCCAAGTTGAGAATCCTAAGCGGCAATCTGGTTTGACTGCTAGAAGATGAGCACCAACCCAGGAGCTCAGAGGTTTTAATGATCACATGGTATCCTCAAGAATTAATTATTCTGGTATCAAAAGAATGCCAGTTCCCAAACCTCTGTACATTCTTACATACTGTGGCAAATGTCTAAGATTCAAAATAGATAACCTCTAACAGTCAAAGAACATCCTCATCCAGTCACATCATCATACAGTACATATATAGTACATAATGGAGGCTTGGATTTAGTCCAGATATGCAGACTTAACTCTACACAACTAATTATAGTACGTGCCTTTTAAAACTCGGCTCATTTTATTATTTATTCAAACAAAAACAATATTCAAACAAAAATCCATAGTATCTTGCCAACTAAATGTAAATTCCACTTATGTTCCTATAATGGAAATGATTACAAACATGTGAAAGGAAACCAAATTTAAATTCAGGAGGAAAACAACCAAACTGCTCAATGCTAACCAGCTTAAACCTATCATCCTAAAGAAAACAAAACAGATTTTGCTCAGCAACATTGTATTCAACACATGGAAATAAATCTTTATAAAAAGTTTCAGTAATATTATTTTACAGGTATTGGATACATACAAACAATATATTTCTATTTGAAAGTATAGGATTGTCTTTGCCTAAAATACTGACAAATTGCATATTTAAAACCTGTGGGCCAAATTCTATGATATTCATTTTGTTTACAGACAAATGGAAATTTTAGAACCATTATTCCATAAAGTGAACAGGAACAGCAGGACCAACAAAGATTTTCCTTCCATTTTCTTCCTGCATGTCATGAAGCAAGGTGGTGAATGAAGCCAACGTTCTTGGTTCCAACTACTAATTCCTCAAATATGCTTTCCAACTCTCTGCCTCTAGCTATGAAGTTACTCTTAAATTCCAGGCCCACAGTCCCCACAATCTAGTCCAGATCTTGGTTGGCTACAGTGTTGGTACCACAACTTACCTTCTTCTCTCCCAAACCTCCCTCCTCTACCTGTTTCATACTTCTAGTAATGCAGTCAACATCCTCAAGCACACAAGCTCAAAACCACAGTATTAGTTTTGACTCTTTCTCATTCCTCTTGATTTTTAGACATAATCAGTAGCTAAGTTAGCCAATTCAATCTTAGCAATAGTTCCACATAGGCCCTCTCCTCTCCATTATTACTATTTCCTTAATTGAGGTCTTCCTTTCACTCTGCAATGCAACAACCTTTGTTTCCTCAACCCCAGTATTTCACCTTTCCTGACACACAGCCTGTAAATAATTATCCCTATGGATTTAAAAAAAAAAAAAGGCATCCTGTCAATGCATATTTGTAGTCTCCACCTAGCAGAGAACTTGGCATATAAATACTCAAATGTTCATTGAATGAACCAATCCTCCCATTCTCTGAAAGCAGAGAGCACTTTTTTCCATGTCTCTTATCACTTGTGTTCTACAAGAATTATTTATATACATGTACAGGTCCACAAGTCCTTATCTGAATGAACTGCTTCAGGCTGATGTGTTTTGGAATTTGGAATCAGATTTTAGAAAGGAAATATAATACATAAAACATGTATTCCATATTACAAAAGGCCCCCAATGGTGCAACAATCTATAAACGTGCATATTACTTCTATACTTGTCTAACTCACACTAGCTGAGTTAAAGACAATCAACAGCATCATATAAGTTCAAGTCACACTTCACCACCAGTGAATCATGAGAAAAAAAACTGTTTATTTTTAGAGCTTTTTGGTTTCTGGAGTTTCAGATAAGAGTACCTATGTTTTAATTTTCAAGAGCAGACTATTCTGTAGGCCACATAAATCCTCTGATTCTTTATCTCCCTTATGCCTTTATGTCATCTTTCATTTCCTCCGATTTTTTACCGTTGCTTAGAACAATAAAATAGGATTCAAAGGGTTTACTACAACAACTTCTGGCTGGGTTTAGAAATTAATAGTAATAAATACTATAAAATATGTTAGTTATTTATGAAATATCTCAGTATCATATTATACTTACATATTTCACTCATACTAAACAAAAAATAAACATCACTATCCATACAATAAACATTATTTTAATAGAAGGTAAAGCATCAATTTCAGAACCTTTTTTTTAAAAGGCAGCCATACTATTTTCTAAAACTATGCTTTCTACATGGCTTTTAGCACTCATTCCAACATATACAGAATCAGGCTAGTTATTATGTGTTATTGACTATACTAGAAGCTAGAAATAGACAAACTGCAGCCATTTCTCAGGATTAAGCCCAAAGTCAAATGAGAGAAAACATACAATTATAAATGACCATAATACAGTAAGATAACTGTGACAAGCAACAGACTCTGCTGAAAGGGAATTCAGGGACTTACTGCTCTACCTCCTATCCATTTTCATCTTTTCAACCTAATTGAAGAATCTCTAGGAAAATAAAGGTGAGGTTAGAATATTCCATAATTAAAGTGTGTGCCATGATTAAGGATGTGAGTTACACAGCAGATGCAAAAGATCTGACAGAATATTTTTTCTTTATTCTTTTTATCCTCTAATTTCTCTTTCTTCACAAAATGGTACCAGGGTCTCTTTGGACCTCCACATCAGTGAAAAGAAATATGACTGCTTTCTTTCTGCGGCAAGATGTTTTATATTGGGTGCATGGCACTCTAATAGATAATTTCCCTAGATTAGATAAACAAACACCTTTGACCATAATCTGTATATATCTAGAAAATAGTGATTTTATATTGATAATTAAGATAATCCAAATTATTGTTTTGGTATGAATAAAATAATTTTGTAACTGTCAAATATCATGACTTAAAAATACTTCATTTTGACTTGATGAATTTGCCTTATGTTTAAGAAGCTGAAGATTAGATAAAGATGCATATAGCCAAGATGACTGTTTAAACTACTTTCAAGGATTACAATGAAATCTTAAAACAGGTTATTTTCATTTCAATTGATTCCCTACATCTCTTACACACACACACAAACACACACACACACACACACACACACACCCCCCTTTGGACATTCCCAAACCTATTCATTCCCACGGGAAAAGAAAAAAAACTTACCTAAAAAGGTAAGATTTACCTACCTTCAAAGGTCTTTAATTGTTAAAAAGATACTTTATTTACTAAGAATTACCTTAGAATATTATAAAATCAGGGCTATAACTTACTCCACTTAGCCCCAATATTTCCGCCTTTGGTTATATGCCACTCAAATACAGCATTTACTTTCTTCACCACCTCAGGCCCAATATCCTTTAGGCGGCGTCCTATTTCCTCAAATACAAAGGTACTCTGAAGCTTCCCGCCCTAACAACGACAACAAAATAAACTTTAAAAGTTCTGTAAAAATAACTCATGGAGAAAAGTGATTATAAAACATGTGCAAAAAAAAGATTTTTTAAAACTCTGTACATAAGTCAGTTTTCTTCATACAATGTGTCTTTCATACTTTCTTATTTGTATACATCACTCAGAACCTCAGTCCTCTTAATAACAGGATTTTACTTTTATTAGAATTCAGAAATAATATTTTAAAAGAAAAATAGGAACTGGACAACCTATGTTTTAGCTAACTTTAGAAAGATCCTGATCAAATTAATCAACTTCTATGGTCTCATTTTTTTTATTTATAAAATAATACTAAATTACATGAAGTCTGAATTTCTTTACAGCTCTAAAACTTAAGTTTTGGGTTTTTTTTGTTTTTTGTTTTTTTTTTTTTTTTTTGAGACAGACTTGTCGCCCAGGCTAGAATGCAGTAGTGCAATCTTGGCTCACTGCAACCTCCACCTCCCGGGTTCCCGTGATTCTCCTGCTTCAGCTTCTTGAGTAGCTGGGATTACAGGAGCCTGCCACCAAGGCTGGCTAATTTTTGTATTTTTAGTAGAGATGGAGTCTCACCATGTTGGCCAGGCTGGTCTTGAACTCCTGACCTCAAGTGACCTAACCACTTCAGCCTCCCAAAGGGCTGGGATTACAGGCGTGAGGCACCGAGCCCGCTCTAAGTTTTTTTTTTTCTTAGACTATTCTTAAGGGATTTTAATTTTCAGTCAGTTATATGGTTTATGACAGACAATTAAAGATCATGGGTATCGAAACCTCAACATTACAAAGTTAATATTTCAGAGATAGAATATAAACATTTTTATCAAAAGTCTCAGCATGCTAATAAATAATACAATGTTTTAATAAATTATACACGCTGCTGGTTTATATATTTGCATACAAAACTTTATATAAACCTTTAAATCAAGAAAAAGGTACAGGATATTCAACTTTTTAATCTATTTTTCTCCAAAACGCTGTTTGCTTAAGATTCTGATTAAACAACTGATTTATTTATTCTAAAACTAGAAAATTATGTTCTCTTGAAAGATATCCTAGTATCCTGCAAAACGAGTTTTTTAAAGTTCATAAATTGCCAGAGTATTCCTTCTATTCCAAGCTGTTTTGAATTAATGTTTTTCACTTCAAGAATTAAGAATAGTTTCATGGTTGTTAATTTTCTAACGTAGCCTAACCACTCTTAAAGTCACCTTAACTGAAATTCCTAAATGAGGAAGTGGCTTGGATACTAATTTTTATAACCTACCTCAGAGGGTGTCTTAGCTGAAGTACCAGATGTTGGTGCAAGATCCACATATGCATTTGAAATGACAATGTCTCCAGTTTCTTGGACCTTAGGAGGAGAAGAAAAAAAAAAGATTTATTCTGATTACAATGGAAGTGTAATTTCACTGTGAAACAGTACAAAGTTTAAAATTTATTATTTTTGCCTCATATGAAAAAGAATATAATAATCCAGATAAAATAAAAGGCTGCTAAAGTAAATGTCAAGATGAACAAACATAAAGGCTTTCTGATTTAATACAACTGTTACTAAACCTGGCTTTATAATCAGCTGGAGCCCTTTAAAACAAACAAACAAAGAAACCCTATGAGGTCCCATCCCCCAAAATTCTAATGTAAATACACTGATAGAGACTGGGCCTTGGTATTTTGGGCATTTTTTGGGGGGGAAGTGGGGATCAGGGGATGCACTCTTATAAACAGAATTCAGTCCATGCTGAATCCTTATAAATAGTAAAAGGCATAGCACAATAGCCACATGAGGTAATGGTACTCAAAGTACATTTGTTCTGCTAATATAGAATAAAATTGGCTAGGAACAAATCATAATAGTGTTTTTTAAGTAGTAATTCCAGGTCTTATTTCAAGAGGAAGTGTACACAGCATGAACTAAATGTCTAAATAGGCTTTTATCAAAATAGTCATTAAAGGAATTCAAATTCTAATTCCCAGTCCTTCATTTCAAATTATTCCAATGGCTATTCTTTCATAAAAATTGTTATTGCTACAAATGTATAGGATAAGTTTCTAAAGTTTAACATAGCGTTTATTAAAACTTTGATTTTTAACAATCAAGAAGATCATTCTCTTGACTACATCTCATCATATTTTGGAGGAAAAAAGATCTTTCAAGTAATTTGTTCACTTTACTTCAAATTACATACATTGAAAAGCATGGAAAGAGATAATTAATGAACAAAATGCACTTCAGTAAATTACTTTATTGTTACCAAATCAAGCAAATCATTTTAAAACACTGGTTTAAAATGTTTCTTATATCTTAAGAATAGAAAGGAAAGGAGGAAGGGAGGGAGAAAGTGAGAAAAGGAGGCAGGGAGAGAAGGAGTCCTAAAACTAATAGAAAAAGAATATCTATAATCACTGAAGAAAAATATAGCAAATATGCTGAAAAGATAAGACAGCATGCTTAGAATTTAACAAAATGGCAAGAATACATTATATTTAGACATTTAATCATTTCTCAGCCCTTCAAGTTTGTATCCATAGAAATTATTTACATACTATTCATCACCAGAATTGCAGGAAAATAAAAACCTGTAATATAGTCATGGTCCTTAACACTTTTAGAGTTCATAATCTTAATCAAAAAGCAAAACTTACTCATACAAAACAAATTAGAAAATGTGAGGGCTCCAAAATATGTGGCACAGATATTAGCTGCAAAGGCTTTCAGAGAACACCAATTTGAGTGTATCTATGGGTAGGAAAGTGGGGAATAGTAAGAGACTGTCTCTAAGAGCAAAGTGGAGCTTGAACTTAAGCCTGAAGGACAGGAGGAATTTGAAAAGTAAAATAAACAATATGTACAAATTAAGCAGGAAAATGATATTGCAACCAGCAGAAAGGAATTAGGAGTAAAGCAACCATGTAAGAAGAATTTTGCAGTTATCTATTTGTGAAAGAAAACATGATACAGAAAAGACATTTGGGGCCTGTAATCAAAGCTTTGAAGCCATGCTGATCGGGTTTCTATCCCAGCTCAACCACTTGCTGTGTGACCATGAGCAAGTTATTTAGGACACCTAGATTAGATTTTCTTAGGAACCTAGATTTTCTTATATTTACATACAGATTTATTATGCATATTAAAGAAAATACTATTGCCAGTTTATAGGTTCTCAATAAATGAAAGCTGTTCCTATTATCATTGGAGTTGTTTAATATGCTCTATATAGCATGAAATGATCAAGCCAAAAAGTATTAGCCTGGTCAACTGTGTTAACAAAAACTGTCTTTTAATAACTTGCAAATAAAACAATGATTGCATGTCCTTTTAGTATTTTACTGGAGCATTGCTAACAGCCTCACCCCAAAATAACCTCATTTACTATTTGTTAGGCCCAGACTCTGTGATGTAACTTGTTAATTTGTGGATTTTTTGTGTAATCAAGATGCATATGATTTCTGTCCAGAGAAAACTCATAAAGGATAAGATTTTATTGTTCTATAGGATATTAACTAATTTTGTCTCTAACTCTGCAAAATTATTTTAGAATAACTTTCCTATTGGACCATATAAACTGTTGTTCTAATTTTTTTTCGAACATGTTTTATCATATTGCAAGATCCTTCATTAATGAGTCAGATAGATTTCTGTCATGTTTTCACTGTATATCTGTCTGAGTCATGCCTTTAAATTTTTTAAGATGATATTTTGACAATGACTTGATTGACTAGTTGAGCCAAAAAGACATGGTTGGCTGGGTTTTCAGAATAGCTGGGCCACTGCTACATAGATAGCTACCAATTTAGTTGAAAATAAAAGAGAAAATAAAACACAGGGTGCAAAACACTTCTATTTTATTAAGTGTTGCCTGATAAATAAAAATTTTGAAAACACCAGACAAGCTGTATCTTATTTTTAATTAAAATTTACCATTACTTAAAAAGAACTTTCTATCCATAGTACTAACCAAAAAAAAATGGTAAGATGGAACACAATGATAAAGCATGTGAGAAGGGTGAAAAAGCAAAATTCATACCTTGGTTTGAAAATGAATTCTGTTTCCTTCCTTCCACATCTCAGTTTGTAGAGTTTGTCCTGGATATACTGGTTTTGCAAAACGAGCCTTTAAAAAAGAATTGTGGGGTTAAAAATGTTTTAAAAGGAAACTCTTTTACTTGTAGGAGGAAAAAATTGGAAAGGAAACTAGAGAGCACAAAAGAAAAAAAAAATCAAGGTTTAAAGATATTTAAATTCATAAAAGACCTAAGTATAATATGATAAAATTAGTAAAATAAAGATGTAACTAATATAAGTAAGCCAATTCTTTGTCTTTCAAAGTATGGAATCAAAAAATAGTGTTTTTTATCTTGACAAATCAAGAAATAAAACCATAATCATATTAGGTGAGTTATATAGGTACATCAGAACAACTTAAAGAAACAGTTAAAAGTGGTACAAATTAAGTCTAAGGAATGAGGCCTGGGGTGAGTATGCAGGGCAAAATAATTCCACTTTTTATTTCATAATTTTTTATATTATTTTCTCTGTGTATATATTACTGGATAATAAAAAATAGTTGTAACAAAATGAAAAGCATGAGAGTAATTAGTGTTATCAAAGGCAATGCATCAGAAAATATATTTTCACTACTGCATGGAGGATAAATTAAAAGCTTTTGGAGCTATTTGACAACCCCTTAAACTTTTTTAAGTGTACATCTTTTGGCTTAAACATACACAAAAATAATATGGGCATGGATATTTTTCCTTGTTATTTATAATGGATAAAAATTTGAAATCAACTAAAAAGTACAGAGTTAAAACAATATGCAGTCATTATATTGCTGTAGATGTATGTTTATTGGACTTAATCAGCCACTTAACATTTTTAATTAAATTAATGAAAATGATAAAACAGTTAAAAAAAGCAAATCTTGAGTTTTCAAGGCATACGTACTGATATATATATATATAATATATGCACCTAATTAATTTATAAAGCAACCCAGTTAATCTGTCAAAATTGCAACTGTGCATCCTTCCTGGTGCATGTGCAACAGAGCTATTTATAGCTACAAAAAGAAAGTGTGCTGATTGCCAGGTCAATGAAATAATAAAAATGTACATTGCTGTAGTACAATATCTATTTTCAATTAAATCACTAAAACCCCTTTTCTTCTCTAAAGATAGAAAAAGGAAGTAATATTCAAATTACGTAGTAATACACATTTACCTTAATTGCCTTGAATCTTGACACATCATTATCTGCAAACTGCTGTAACACACGCCTGGCAGAAAATCCAAATGTACATAATCCATGTAATATGGGCTTGTCAAAACCTAGGAAAAGAGAGAACACTGAGTTAGATACAGGTACCTTTAAAGTTTAAAAATCAAGTGTAGTTAATTCAGGACTTTAAAAATGTCCTTAGACTGCATTAGCAGGAATTATACCATCTATTTTAAGAAACACAGTAGATATTTTTTAAAGAGTATTTCCTGGGAGGAAATTATGAAATAAAGAAAGAAAGAAAAAAAAAAAACAAAACAGGAAAAGAATGTGAGAGATCTGGAAACACAATTGTTTTGTTTAGTTTTGGTTGTAACCATGAAATCATCCAGGGTACTCTCAACATCCACACAGGTACATGATCCTTCCCTAACCTTTCAGTTCCTTGCTCTCTCTCCAATGACCTTGTCCTTTGTGATAACTCACACACCCACCCTCGTGGTCCTATCCTAGACCTCGCACTAGCGGGAACTTCCCTCCACCATAATCTGAATTTCAAGTGCACTATTTTCTGAACACATTTCCTACCTTTCCATATCCTTTGCATAAATGTAATAAATAAAATAACATTTTTTTAAATGCTACTCAAACTACCAGTCATAAGTAGTAGTGTCTTTACATTATTTAATTAAATATCGAATAGCTAATATTTTTCATTGATACATATTAAAGACAACTCACCTGCTAGACTAGCAAAGTTAGGATCAATGTGTAAGGGATTCCAGTCTCCACTGAGGCGGTACAAAGCAGCCTGTGGAGAAAGCATAAACATAACTAGAACTCAGTGTTTTGTTAGAATACATTAAATGAAAAATAGGAAACATGGCTGGTTATTGGTATAAGCATTGTATCATAATGTACCTGAGGCTCTGATTTTAAAAATAATTATTTTTAACAATAAAGATTACCTATAATGAAATGTTTTTTTAACACTTGCCACTAAAATCAGTGGGAGGGAAAAAAATGTAGAAAGGGAAGCCAAGAATTATATTTAGGTAAAACACTGTTACTACTACCTAAGGAGAAATTCACAAAAAGAAGTCAGTCAATCTACTCCCATTTATACACAGATAAGGTAAATGTTTATAGTCTGCTCTAAGCAAGCAAAATTTATGCCAACTTTCTTACTGGGGTGTTTTAAATTGAAGCTTCTAAGACAATATCGGACATAGAAACATCAAAGACTTCTCACTAACTTTCATTCTGCTGGTACACTAAATCCTGAACATTAGCTCACCCTGCAAGAAAACTGACTGAACTGATAGCTTGCTATTATGATAAAAGTTCTGCTGAGTCCAGATTTCCACATCACTAGTTTACTTAGATAAAGTAGGATTAGCAGCGTGGCCTGGATAACAATAGGGAAAAAGTCACCATACTTTCTGGCGTTTAAATGGTACATTCTTCCAAGTTAGAAAGCACTTACCAGCACTGAAAGGAAGAAATTCACCAAACAGCTAATAGTAAGTGTATTTAATGTATCTGTAAACTTGACCGACCCTTTTAGGTCAGCCTCAAGACTTCTTCCCTTTCTCATTAATTGCTGTGCTGTTTTCCAAAGACTACTGAAATGCTGTGTAAAGACTAGCCATATCTTTTTAAAATTACTGATCTTTTATTACTTTTAAACTACTGATTATTTTTAACAAGTTTTATTTATAGAAAATATTCTATAATTCATAAGAAAGCATCATTCTTTTTAATATGCTTTGTATAATTCCAATAAGCTCTTTTCCTTCCCCATGACTCCATATAATGGTTCTATAGATTATTTACTTTCCCAATGACTCAATATTCTTTCCTTTACATGTCTTCTTAATATAATGAAATCAAATAAACAATTATTGAATACTGGTGACTTGCAAGGTCCCATATGAGATGCTAAGAGAAGTAAATGATAATTTTTTAAAAGCACTTTATATAATAAAATGTTAGCAAATATATATCATGATGTATACAAATGAAAGAAAAACACATTTCAGGGCCTGAAATTGTGACAGGAAATTATCAAACACATGCTAGATCATGGGATTTGGTACTAGTCAGATCTAGATTCAAAGCCAGCTCTACCATTAATGGGCAAGTTTCTTCACCATTCGAAGCCTCAATTGCTCATTTAGAAACATTTAGAGGCTAACAGAACTTACTCTCACAGAGTAGTTGGAAAAAGGTGGGATAAAGCTTACAAGGTATTATCTTTGATAAATAATACCTCAATAAATGTTAGTTATTTTTTAAAGATTATAGCAACAATACAAACAACCAAGTTTCTAAGATTAGTACTAGTATTCTTATCCCACATATATCATTCCTATAAATGAATACAGTGTTCTGAAGAAATCGTATTAATATGAAATATCTCACATTATTTCAATGATAGCATTGCTTTCTATAGATAACAGAGTTAAACGAAGACAAAAAAGGTTCATTATGAGAAATGACAAAAGCCAACTGACTAGATGTTTGACCCATTCAATCATAACACAAAATAAGCATTGTTCAATTAATAATGACCACTGCCAAAGCTTATCTTCTACGTATTTTGAAGAAATGGCATATTTCAGAAGGAAAGCTAAAAGTTTCTTGTTTCGTTTCATTTCTGCCTGGAAATAAGTCATTATAAATAACAACCACCAAAAAAATAAGAAAAAGAAAAATAGCTATATATTATTTTGCATATTAAAAGTAGGTGGGAGGATAATCTGCATACAGGTAAACTATTCCTTAATTTGATTTTTTAAAATTGTACCATTAAGTTAAACTAAATGCTAAATAAATAGGCTCAGGAAACTAGTGCTTTTTAAGTCCTCATATCCTCGAAAAAAAAAATACAAATAATGAGAACAAATAAAACTACACAAATCTCAAGCCTACAGTGTAACTAGAAGACAGAGAACACTGCAGAGTTCAAATTCCAGTAAGTCTCAAAATAAACACCACTTTTCTATCAGTGCTAACTTTTGAGCACCCTCTGAAAGCTACTGCAGAGTGGCAGGGCTTGGGGGGTGCAAAAGCAGTGCATGGAAGAGGGAAAAGGAAAATCACTCCCAGATAAATCCATCTTAAGGGCAAAAATACTGAAATGAATCCTGGAAGATTACAGCACTGACTACAATGAAAATAATTAATAGTACACTAGTCTTCCAGTGGCAATTCCAGAAAGGTATCACTTTCGGGGAGAACAGAATAAAACAAAGATATCACCTTTGGAGACTGGATGAAGAAAAAAAGAAGCAAGAGAGGAAATTAATGATCCTGAAAGATAATTTATTTTATTTTTAAAAATAAAACACCTCCCCACAGTGCCCCTTCTTTAAAGCCACCCACTAAAGAAATTGCATGTTGCTACACAGAGAGAAAGGGCAATTTTGAACTAAGAATCTTGGAAACCACCCCAAACCACAAAACGCACAGAGGTAAATATTCTTCATCTGTACAACACTAACATAAAACTAAAATTGCAATTCCTCAGGGATCTAGAACTAGCAATACCATTTGACCCAGCCATCCCATTACTGGGTATATACCCAAAGGATTATAATCATGCTGCTATAAAGACACATGCACACGTATGTTTATTGCAGCACTACTCACAATAGCAAAGACTTGGAACCAACCCAAATGTCCAACAATGATAGACTGGATTAAAAAAATGTAGCACATATACACCATGAAATACTATGCAGTCATAAAAAAGGATGAGTTCATGTCTTTTGTAGGGACATGGATGAAGCTGGAAACCATCATTCTCAGAAAACTATTGCAAGGACAAAAAACCAAACACCACATGTTCTCACTCATACGTGGGAATTGAATAATGAGAACACTTGGACACAGGAAGGGGAACATCACACACCGGGGCCTGTTGTGGGGTGGGGGAGGAGGGAGGGATATCATTAGGAGATATACCTAACGTAAATGACGAGTTAACGGGTGCAGCACACCAACATGGCACATGTATACGTATGTAACAAACCTGCACATTGTGCACATGTACCCTAGAACTTAAAGTATAATAAAAATACATATATATTTAAAAAAAAAAAACCAAAACTGAAAATGCAAAACAAAACCTTTTAGTAAATAAAATCCACCCCCCCTCCAAATAAACAAACTGCCAAACAGAAGAAAACTGTAACAAAACACTCAAGCATTTGGGGATGTAAAACAAACACTCTGAATCCAAAATCCAAAAACTAAGAAAATAAATGGATGACATACATGAAGAAATAAATAAGTAATGATTAAATTCAAGAAAGAAATGGAAAGAAAAAATCAAAATCATATAAGAAATGAAGACTAAATTATAAGGTACCCAAAGGAGAACACATTCAAATAAAAATTAAATAAGGGGATGGCAGAAAGGGCAGAAATGAACCATGAGAATGAAAATGAGATCAAGAAGCAACTAAAAAAGAACAGAAGAAAAGTAGTTGAAAGACATGAAAAGATTCAACATACATATAAATGGATACCCAAAGAAAGAAAAGCAAAACAGTGAAAGAGAACTAATATTTAAAATTTTAATACTATAAAACTAAAAGACATGAATATACATATTAAAAAGGCCCACCAGGTATATAAGGAAGACTGACCTGCAACATGCAAGACTGAGACATATCCCAGCAAAACCATTAGACTTTAAAAACGAAAATAATCTTGAGGGCCTCAGGGTAAAGATCAAGTAACTTACAGGGGAAGATAATTAGATTGGCATCAGACTTTTCAAAGGCAACATACAAAGTAAGACAACAATGATGCACCATTTTTAAGAAATAAGATTTTATATCCAACAATGCTGTCCCTTCAAGTATCTAGGGTAAATAGTTTTAAAGATATAGAAACCAAGGCAACACTATACACAGGAGCCGTTCTTGGGAAACCTTCCACAGAAGGAGCTTCATCCAACTAAGAGCTGACTAAGAAGCTTTGGCAAAAGGGTTGACATATTCAACTGCAAATCTAAAACTAAAAGATACAGAAAAGTGGAAATAATACATAAATGTTAAATGCTCTAAACAGTAAAAATAATGCATCCCCCAAAATGGGAACAATAAGAGGGGAAAAAGTAAAATAACCTCTTTTGACTGTTATACAAGAAACGAAGCCAAAGAACAGCAATCAAAACTAAAAAACTAGATAGTCATGGATTAAATGGGAAAATGAGGCATTAAGGGCATTAAAAAAGGTATACACGACTTTTGCTTCTGGCCATAATGAAGGACCTCGAATGGACTTATTCTTCTACCATAAACAACTAGAAAAATTATAAAGAAAAAAAAAGGTGGGGGTTACCACTGTTCCTAGACATTGGACAGCAGGCAATGCAGGACTACAATTCTTTACAGAAAAGAAACAAACAAGATGAGTTCTACAATTGTACAGCTTCCTTCTGACAGCAGTTCCCAGACTGCAATTCAGAAATCTCGAATATAGCAAAGTGGTCTCAATGAGTTACAAATATAGATTAGAATTCTGAAAGTATGATGCAGCTGAATTTGTGTGTACTGAAGAGGAGGAAGTTACACAGAAAAATAACTCCAGAAATCTAAATGGGGGTCTCACTGAGGGCTATAAAAAAAGGTCCTGGAAGATGATACACCACATGAAGAAAGAGGCCATGTAGGGAAGATTCGAAGCACCCCAGCCAACAGCTAGCACTAAGACCCCAGATATGCAAAAGAAGCCATCTTGGAACCTTCCAGCCCTGCCCAGCTGCCATCTAAAAGCAGCTACACCATTTGTAGCAGAAAGATCACCCAGTCAACCCAGAGTCTTGGAAAATAATAAATCATTGTTTAAAAAAAAAAAAACAGGTAGTAGTTATAAAATGTATGGTAATTTTTTTGGTTTCTCAATGATTTATTTTTGATTCCCAGTGATTTATCTGAAACTTTCACCCACAAATAATCAGTGAAGTGAAGGTGACACGTATTGGAAACTAAAGGCGATGGGTGCTATGGTAGCCTAGAGAAAAAGTTCAAAGGAGTCTTTTCTGGAGCTGCGAGTGGGACCTAGAACGTGGCTGTCAGTAATATCTCAGATTATGAGACCAGAGGATGTAAAAGAAGTTTTTTCTTTTAAAAATTGACAATTGGTGTATCATACTGTGATCGTTTAGTAGAAGCAGAATTATAAAAAATTATGAAAATATTCTAGTGAAACTAAATTAAATGCTGGGACTCTTCTAGATAAGATGAATGCTTGTGTTGCTTTCTTAATGACTTTACATGAGTTCTTTATGGTCCTAAAGGTCCAAATAAAAATGAGAGAAAGAATACTCCAGGAAATATGACTTGATATTTGCAAAATCTGGAATGCAATCAGTCTCTGCATCTAAAACATGGGCTGATCAGCAGTTCACTTTAGATGATCCCATCAGATAGTAAGCACTTTCTGGCAGTTACATGCAAGTGACTCAGATGGTCCAACTAGCATCCATGATTTCTCTACAGCTTTGTGGCCCCACAAAGGGGTGTTCTAAATCTGCAAAGATCTCCCACTAGAAGACATGTTTTTGAGCCTATGTCTGTTTTCAGTTCAAGATGACAGTAACTGTAATAAAGAATTATATTTTACTGGATACTAGAACTGATATGCCAAATATTAACTTTACTTAATAGGATATGTATAGTATAAGATATGTATCTGGGGAAACTATGGATATTTGTTCTCATTTTCCTCAAATACAAAGCCTGACATCTGATATTTACTTGCTGTTTGGTCTGTCTAGATTATTGCAGTGGAATTGTCTGTCTATTAATAATTATGAAAAACTACAAAGTACACTTGTATTGTCATACTCGTTTGTTTTGTTTTGTTTTGTTTTGAGACAGGGTCTTGCTCTGTTACCTAGACTGGAGTGCAGTGGTGTAATCACAGCTCACTGCAGCCTCGATTTACCAGGCTCAAGTGATCCTCCACCTCAGCCTCCTGAGTAGCTGGGACAATAGGCGTATGCCACCATGCTCGGCTAATTTTTTTATTATTATTATTACTTTTAGTGGAGACAAGTTCTTGCCCCAGGCTGGTCTCAAACTCCTGAGCTCAAGTGACTCTCCTGCCTCAGCCTCCCAAAGTGCTGGGATTTAAGGTGTGAGCCACTGTGCAGGCCTGTCATACCAGTTTCAAGATGAAGAAACTCTCCTGAAGACATTATAAACAGACATTCCAGAAGTGATACTGGTATAGTTAAAAATATATATTGCCAGTTTTCTTAATGATTGAAAAGTTACTTAGTTAATATAAATACCTAGCATAAAGTTTATGTATAATGGCATAATTTTTCCTCATTTCCATATCTCTTAAAGATCTGCCCATGCACAATCATCCTACACTAGTCTCCAATGTGAATGCTCTAATTCTTACCCCTTATACACACGTCATGCTCTTCTCCTCTCTTACACTCCATCATTACTTCTCAACACACTGCAAGCCCTACATATCCGGAGAGAAAACACCCACATACCATCTCCACTAAGTCCCATTCTTACTATCGAACCCTTCTGTGTCCGGAATTGGTGGGTTCTTGGTCTCACTGACTTCAAGAATGAAGCCGCGGACCCTCACAGTGAGTGTTACAGCTCTTAAGGTGGCACGTCTGGAGTTTGTTCCTTCTGATGTTTGGAGTTTCTTCCTTCTGGTGGGTTCGTGGTCTCGCTGGCTCAGGAGTGAAGCTGCAGACCTTCGCGGTGAGTGTTACAGCTCTTAAGGCAGCACGTCTGGAGTTGTTCGTTCCTCCCGGTGGGCTCATGGTCTCGCTGGCTTCAGCTCATAAAAGCAGTGTGGACCCAAAGAGTGAGCAGTAGCAAGATTTATTGCAAAGAGTGAAAGAACAAAGCTTCCACAGTGTGGAAGGGGACCGGAGCGGGTTGCCACTGCTGGCTTGGGCAGCCTGCTTTTATTCTCTTATCTGGCCCCACCCACGTCCTGCTGATTGGTAGAGCTGAGTGGTCTGTTTTGACAGGGCGCTGATTGGTGCGTTTACAATCCCTGAGCTAGACATAAAGGTTCTCCACGTCCCCATCAGATTAGCTAGATACAGAGTATCAACACAAAGGTTCTCCAAGGCCCCACCAGAGTAGCTAAATACAGAGTATCAATTGGTGCATTCACAAACCCTGAGCTAGACACAGGGTGCTGATTGGTTTGTTTACAAACCTTGAGCTAGATACAGAGTGCCGATTGGTGCATTTACAATCCCTGAGCTAGACATAAAGGTTGTCCAAGGCCCCACCAGAGCAGCTAGATACAGAGTGTCCACTGGTGCATTCACAAACCCTGAGCTAGACACAGGGTGCTGACTGGTGTGTTTACAAACCTTGAGCTAGATACAGAGTGCCCATTGGTGTATTTACAATCCCTGACATAAAGGTTCTCCATGTCCCCACCAGACTCAGGAGCCCAGCTGGCTTCACCCAGTGGATCCCACACCAGGGCTGCAGGTGGAGCTGCCTGCCAGTCCCGCGCGGTACGCTCGCACTCCTCAGCCCTTGGGTGGTCGATGGGACTGGGCGCCGTGGAGCAGGGGGTGGCACTCCTCAGGGAGGCTCGAGCTGCACAGGAGCCCATGGAGGGGGTGGGAGGCTCAGGCATGGCGGGCTGCAGGTCCCGAGCCCTGCCCTGCGGGAAGGCAGCTAAGGTCCAGCGAGAAATCGAGCACAGCACCGGTGGGCTGGCACTGCTGCGGGACCCAGTACACCCTCCGCAGCCGCTGGCCTGGGTGCTAAGCCCCTCATTGCCCGGGGCCAGCAGGGCCGGCCAGCTGCTCTGAGTGCCGGGCCCGCCAAGCCCACGCCCACCCAGAACTCAAGCTGGCCTGCGAGCGCCGCGCGCAGCCCCGGTTCCCGCTAGCGCCTCTCCCTCCACACCACCCTGCAAGCTGAGGGAGCCGGCTCTGGCCTTGGCCAGCCCAGAAAGGGGCTCCCACAGTGCAGCGGTGGGCTGATGGGCTCCTCAAGTGCCGCCAAAGTGGGAGCCCAGGCAGAGGAGGCGCCGAGAGCGAGCGAGGGCTGTGAGGACTGCCAGCACGCTGTCACCTCTCACTTCTACATGTCATTCCCTAATAAGTATCCCTTCTCTGACTGTCTGTTACACCTATACTACAAATCAAAGCCTTGTATTTAAACATTCATTGCTTGGAATAGGTGCCCTAGTTATCTCAGACATCTATATCTTGAGTATCCAAGTGTTCCTTCCCTTCCTTGACAATAGATGACACTTCTTCTAATTGACTTGTATTTCTTATAGCATGCATCCAATTTCAAATGTCCCACAAATTCCCTGAAATTTATGCAAAGTTTTATGCAAAATGTTTTTTAGGGAACTGGTATATAGCCTCCATTATATTCTCTAATTATCATACAATACAAAATGGCCAAGAACCTCTGCCAAATGATGAGTGCCCATTATTCACACAAAAATATTGTTGATTTAAAAACCGTCTTTTGTCACGCAGCAAAATATTAAAACCTACCTTAAAACTAACAAAAAGTTTTAGTCATCTGAAAAAAAAACAAAAGAAAGAAAACCCCACTACTTACTGTGCGTAGAAATTCAAACCTTGGAAACTATTCAGCTTTTATTTGTAGCAGATATATTTTTTATTTCAGTATAATAAAGAGGCATTTCTTGGGTTTTCTGAACCATGAAACCATGAGCCTTTTCTGTTTTTTAGTACTCTAACAGAATTAGTTTCTCAATTAAGCCTTATGTAAACATAAATATGAGCACATTCTTAAGAAATTCATAAGAAACAGTAATGGATGGAAAAAATATTTAAAAGCAAGAATAAAACAATGTTCCCTCCATCACCTGATTATATGGTACAGAAAAAAAATACATATGTACCAACTTTAATTCTCTCTGGCTTATGAGATTACAATTCTATTTGCTAGGAAACATAAGTCCTGCAGAAGTTTTCATATCAAACATACCAAAAAAAATTTTTTAACTTTTAAGTCCAGGAGTACATGTGCAGGATTGTTACATAGATAATTGTGTGTCATGGGGGTTTGTTGTGCATATTATTTAATCACCCAGGTATTAAACCTACTACCCATTAGTTATTTTTCCTGATCCTCTCCCTTCTCCTATCCTCTACCCTCCAGTAGGCCCCACTGTGTTGTTCTCTTCTAAAATACAACCAAAAATTTTTTTAAAGTGACCTTTCTGAACAATTTGCTGTTATTACATGCACACACACTGCGTTACTCCAGAGGTTTAAGGATTTTATGCTATATCTGCATGGTTAGTCTACTAGCCATCTTAGAGAAGAATCTTAAGGTCTCTCAAAAATAAACTTGCTTTTCTCACTTTTATGGTTGCCTTTTGTTTCTTAAACAAATTTTTCTATGGTCACAGAATTTGTGAACTGACAGGACATTTTATCTCCTTCACCAGAAAACAAATTCTTTATGTCAAACAAAAAAGATTAAATCACCTACTGCTTCTAAGATGCTTTATTTGCCTATCCTTTACAGTTGGTATAAAATAATCTGTTTCCAAGCAGTGTGGCATTGCTTTCTTTCCCAAAGAGGAAAGGATGACTAATACTTACTTGCCTTTTACCTAATTTTTATCCTGCACTTACTCTGAGGCTTTCATGAAATTCTTCACTCTTAAAGTGGGCGGCCTCTCCAAAGAAAGCACTCCATTACCAACAACATGCAATGCTTTTTAAATTGACTAATAAAAAACCATTTTATATTTTATTTTGGTATCTAGTGGGAAAACATTAATAACTAAAAATTAAAAAAATAACGTGCAATCACAGGAAACATGTCTGTATGTTTATTATGTTGAATAATAACATATTATTCATTATGCATTAGATGCATAATGTTATAAGGTATCAGAGCTATAAATTAAAAAGTGTCATCAACCAGGTGGATTTATCATTTTTCAAAAATACAATCTTACCTGATTAAGAGAGGTGGTATCTGTAAGTACAGCATCAGGAGGTCTATTAGGTATGGCTACAGCTACCTAAAATTAAGACATTACATGTTAAATCTTAAATACAAATTATCATTATTCTCTTTAACCAAACTCACATTTGATACACAATCATGTTTCAATACAATAAACTCTGCAAATTGGATAAAAGGGTTTAAAAAAAATCATGCTCAGGAAATAATGATATTTAAAATTTCATAACTCCTAGCTTCATCTACTCTATGATTTGCCTGAAATGACCTTTCTAAATGTAAAGAATTATGTAATCAGATAAATCCTCCAGGCCACAATGGAGAAAAAGTTAAGGACAGTTACTCCCTATGTAAAAGATGAAAACAACTACAAGAATTAGACATATAATTCACATCTAAATTGATTCAGTCTTTAAAACTGGTCTTTTAAATCCTTGCATATTTTAATTTGCCATCTTAACAAAATAATACATTTTAAAGTTGGTTACCAAAAATATTTGAATTATTATGATCCCTTAATGCCAACACTTAAAATTCCTTTTTGATGAAAAGTCTGCAACATCTACAAAGTAAGTATCTGAGTGCCAGTTTAGGGTTGATTTAAACCAAAGTAAACATAAAAAATTCAAGTAGCTAATATCTACTTCTCAATCATTTATAATAGAGGCAAAATTTTATTATAGAATAATTTAAGTAAATTTTCCACAACAAAGTAAGCTTTTATCCTTTCAGAGAGTTAAGAAATTAGTGATTTTTCATTACTAAAATGCCACACTTAGATATATTCCCAAACTTATCCTCACAAACCCCGCCACACCCAAAACATAAAAAAAGATCATGAGGGAAGTTGCTGCTTCTAAAAGCAAACAAAAGTCAGGCTGCCGTTTTTCAAAAATCATTGCATCAATTACACTCCTTTGTTTCAGTTGCATCCAGTGTATTTTGCAGGTTTTATTTACAAATTCATTTTCAATGCATTCTACTAGGTTTTGGAGGACCTGACTTCAATCTATAGGTCCCGAGCAGTCTTTTAAAATTTCTGAGTACCAAGAGTTCTCTGAACCTGTCTTGATTCTGAGGGCTGCCTGATTAAAAATAAACAAATAAAAATTAAAAATTAAAAAATTCTGAGTACCTTTTATTCCACAAAATCCATTGTATGCCATGTATACAAAGGGCATTTAAGATGGACAGTGCCGCGATGGTAGTTTTACTGTTAACAGACTAGAAACTCGTTTATGGCACAGGGCTTCACCATGACTTGACATCATCTCTGATTTTTTTCTCAAAGCAACAAGTGATACTTGTGATAAGTGCTTAGAGAATGGTATCTAGTTTAGATTACTTTCTGGTCTACAGTAATTCATTATTGCCCAATATTAAAAAGAACATACAGGGAGCACGAGGTGGATGGGACACCTGAGGTCAGGATTTCGAGACCAGCCTGGCCAACATGGTGAAACCCCGTCTCTACTGAAAATACAAAAATTAGCCAGGTGTGGTGGCGGGCACCTGTAATCCCAGCTACTTGGGAGGCTGAGGCAGGAGGATCACCTGAGTCTGGGAGGCAGAGGCTGCAGTGAGCTGAGATTGCACCACTGCACTCCAGGCTGGGCGATACAGTGAGATTCCATCTCAAAAAGAAAAAAGAACAAAGAAAAAGAACATACAGTTAAAAAGGAAAAACAAATAGCATGTTATATTTACTTCATCTAATATAGCCTCAGACTTGTATTTTACCCTTTCTAAAATAATATCTTCACTAAAAGCTTGGATGTTTTAAGAGTGAATATAACATTTCCAAGCTTTTCATTCAGAGAATGCCACTGCATGTTTCTGCATTGCACAACTTGCCTTAGGGTTCTTAATAACTCATAATTTGCTACCTGTGAATAGATACAACTTCACGTAAATAATACCCATTTAATACCTGTCAAGGTAATTTTTTCACATCCAAGCAATAAGTGAGGACAACTTTTTTTTAAATGCGGGCCCAGGACATTGTTTTCATATAGTATTGATCAATACTAATTTTTCAAACAGCTTTACTGACACAATACACATATAATTCACCTCTTTAAAATGTAAAATCCAGTCATTTTTAGTATATTCATAGAGTTGTCCAACCATCACCAGAATCAACTTAGGCACATTTTCATGTCCCCAAAAGAAAACCCTATAGCCATCAGCAGTCACTCTCCCTTGTCTCCTTTCTCCTCCAGCCCTTGGCAACATCTAACCTACTTTCTGACTCTACAGATTTGCCTAACCTGGGTATTTCATATAAACACAGTATGTGGTCACTTGCTATCAATCTGAAGAACTTTATTTAGGATTTCTTATAAGGCAAGACTGCTAACAACAAATTCTCTCAGTTTTTGTTGTCCAGGAATGTCTTTATTTTATATTTATTTTAGAAAGCTCATTTTGCTGGTTATAAAATTCTTAGTTGACCTTGTGGTATTTTTTTTTTTTCCTTTCAGCACTCTGAATACATTAGCCCACTATCTTCTGACTTCCATTGTTTCTGATGAGAAGTCAGAGGTCAGCTCTTAATCTTATTAGGGTTCCTTTGTAAGTAATGAGTCATTTTTTCTCTGATTATTTTCAACCTTTTCGTTTCTGGCTTTCAACACTTTTACTACAATGAAGAGAATATGGATTTCTTTAGATATATAATCTATTTGGAGTTGACTGAGCTTCTTGGATGTATAATGTTTTTCATCAGAAGCCATTATTTCCTCAAAATTTTTTTCTGTTCCTTTCTCTGTCTCTGATACACCCATTATATGAATGTTAGTGTGCTTAGTGATACTCCATCTTTCTCTAAGGCTCTTCATTCTTTTTCCTTTTCTTCACTGTGGTTCTCTCTGTTCTTTAGTTTGTATAATCACTATCAATCTATCTTTAAGCTTTTTTGATTCTTTCTTTTGTCAAATCTACATTTGGCCCTTCAACAGTAAATTTTTCATCTCAGTTATTATACTTTCAGCTCCAAATTTCCTATTTGAGTCTTTGTAATAATTTATATATATTTAGTAACATTTAAGCATGGTTTCCTTTAGTTCTTTGAACATAAATAACAGCTGCTGTGAAGTCTGTCTACTAAGTTCTCTCAAAGGCAGTTTCTGTTGCCTGTTTGTTTCTTCCGTCTATGCATCACACTCTCCTGTTTCTTCCATATCTTATAATTTTTTGTTGCTAACTGGGCATTTCAGATAATAGATTATAACAACTCTAGACACTAATCCCCCACCCCTTCCAGGGCTTGTTGTTATTGTTTATTTATTTAGTAACTTAGCTAGACTCTTACATGTGAGTCTATTCTCCCAATAGTGTACAGCCTCTGATATTGCTCCTCAGAGAGTGTACCTTGAGTAGGTGCAGTCACCCTACGATGACACTGGTTTTAGCAGGCTCTCTTTGACTGTCTCTCGTTGGTCTCTCTGTTAAACTGTCTGCCTCTTTTGGTATCATACCCAGTTGTAAGGTTCCACTAATTGCTAGATTACTGTTCTATTTTTTTCAACAGTGTCCTGGGGTATAAATTGTTCAACAATCTGATCCAATTAAATTCAAGCCTCTTTGCAAGGGTAGTCGTTGAGGCCAGACTTTGAGGTTTGTTACAATCCCAGGAGGGCTTTTCTTAGCTATCTCTTTCCCTGGTTCTTTCTAGTAAATGTCTAGCTGGGCTACACTTTAGCTCCCTGCTGTTACGGAACTACCAGCCTTCTCTTAATTGCTTATCACTACAGTCACACCTTGTTTTTGAGGGCATCCCTATGCTTGAACTTCCAAATACTTAGTTACAAAAAGACTCTGTTTCCTTGTGAAGAGGGTCAGAACTTTGTGTTATTACAGCCTTCCTCTCCCTCTAGGCAGAATTTCTGCAGGAGTAGTGACATACTTCTTTCCAAATGATACACTTGCTTTACAAGAAGGAAGCAGGGCAGGTGTAGTAGCTTCTGTTCTTCTCTGCTGACTCTCCAACCACGGAACCTCCACGCTACGGGAAAGCTAGGGCAAGTGCAATCAGGGCCCCAGTATTCTCAACCTGCCACAGGTAGGGTAAAGTCTCCACTCTGTAAGTGGGGGCTGGATGGAGAAATAGAGGCTCACAAGTCAGTCACTTTTACCTGGAATAGAGCATCTGCAATTCAGAGCTAGTGGGAAGGATAAGAAAAGTTAATAGTCTGCCCATCCTGGGAAGACAGCATGGCAGAGGGCTCCTACGTTCTTGGCTGCAAACGCCTGGGGTACAGTTTCTGTCATGCTCAGCCAGGAGAGGAAGAACAAAGGGAGGGGTTGTGACTCAAATGCCACACAGTCTCACTGTTCTTACCAAAATATAATAGATTTTCTTGAATAAATGTTTCTTCATTTGCTCTATACCCTTAGAACAATTTCCAGAGACATTAAATAGCTGTGTTTTAAAATAATTTTTTACAAGTCATGGTTGTTTCACTGACAAGAAAGTCCAAGGAGCTTCTTACGTCACCATTCCAGAAGTCTTTTCCCAATACTGCTTTAAATAATACTTTATTTACTACAGAAGAATATTGACTACAGTATAATCTTATTACCACAAGTAACTTAAAGGTAAAGCCAGATTAACGTGAAATCCAAATTAAATATTTTTAGGAAAAATATGTTTCTAGAATTTGAGAACAAAAGAATAACCAGAATTATCTTGCATAAGAGAAATACTTAGGTCCTTTAATAAATGAAGATTTTAATCTATACAAGGATCACTTGTGTTCAATTTTTCTAAAAACTTTTGGGGTCTGCAAAGATTGTACAAGAAAATAACAAATATTCCCATAATTATCTCAGATACATTATACTTAACTCAGCAAGGCTTTTCTATATATAAAATATGTTGTACAGAGAATATATAAACATAAACAGCACTTCAAATTCAAGGAACACACACAATTTCAAAGTACGTATTACCAAGTCTCTATGCTATAAGATTACATATATGGTAATATAAGATCAATATACAGTTGACCCTTAAACAATGTGCAGCTTGGGAGCACTGACTATGCAGTCAAAAATTCACGTATAACTTTTGACTCCCTAAAATCTTAACAACTGATAGCCTACTGTTAACCAAAACCCTTACCAATAACATAAACCATCAATTGATACATATTTTGTGTTATTATATTCTGCATTATTACAATAAAATGAGCTAGGAAACGTTTTCTACACTGGCTGCCACCTCATCTGAAATCAGCACATTCCATGGAGGAAGGAGTCCTGCTTTGCTGCATCGTCTATCCAAGGGTTTAATGTTGGTAAATGAGCAAATCGAGCATTTGTACAAGGCTCCCTAAGACTCCTGCAGCAGTCGACCAAGCCTGGGGACATAATGGAATCTGGAGTTTCCTGGGGCCTTGTTTTGAAAAAGACTTGACATACACATAGGAAGAAAGGCACAAAAATAAACATTCACTTGTCTCTGAGAAAAAGAAGAAGAGGAAGAAGAAACTAGGAAAAATAAAATGTCATGAAAAACATAAAAAATGAAAGAATATTTACTATTCAGTAAGTGGAAGTAGATCATCATAAAGGTCTTCATCCTCATCATCCTCACATTGGGTAGGCTGAGGAGGAGGAAGAGGAGGAGGAAGAAGAGGGACTGGTCTTGGTGTCCCAGGGGTGGCAGATGTATAAGAAAATTTGCCTATAAGTGGGCTCATGCAGTTCAAACTCATGCTGTTCAAGTCTCAATTGTATAGGTAAGAATCCTTAACTACACATATATTTTGCTTACAAAGTCATGGCTTACCTTGACTTTGTCTGATGTCCGTTTTCCACCAAAGCCTCCAGAGCCAACAAGAAAGAGAGAGAACTGATTGTGGCATATAAGTTCCTTCTCAGAATAAGAATAGACTGAAAAGTAAATAAAAGAAAAAATAAAAGAAGTTACCACCAAAAGGCATAACTAGTTAACCAAGATAGGTTCAACAATTCCTGTCAAGGTTTCAAAAACAAAATCCAATTACTGAAAGAGTTCTAACATGTAAAGGTGTCCAAGTTTGGATTACAAAGCATTCATTTTAATCCATTCATACCAGAATCTGAAAGGCAGAGAGAAGAGGAGCTTCAAAAATCCTTTCTTAACTATGAAATAGCAGTTCTTTCACTTTTCTTAAGGCTCTCCAACTGCTATTCAGATCCCAATTATTTCCACCTTAAACATTTCAAATAATCCCACTAGAAAGTACAGGTAACCACACTCGAACTTTCAAACATTCTGCCAAAGCAGTCAAGAAGAGCATGGAGAGGAAATAAGTGGGAATGAAGGTATAAGCCACATGAGGGCAGGATCATGGCTGTTCTGCTCACTCTTATTTTCCCATCAACTAGAATAGTTCCTGTACAGAAAAAAAGGCACCTAATAAGTGTTTATTAATTAATAAATCAGTGAATAAATGATATGAGTGAGCAAGTTAGCAAATAAGTGAGCAAGTAATGAATAAGACAGCTGTCCCTCTATTTACTAACTTACTAGGGACAGATTATTATCTGTTTCATATCTAGCTCTGCAAAACTAGAAATATGATTTTAAATTGCATACTAAAGAAAAATCTAATTATAAACAAAAATAAGGAAAGGCATGCCAATGTAGTTCAAATAAGATTTTTATTTTTATCACATAGGCAACTGAATAACCAATTTCACTTTGTCTACAAATTCTAATATACTAAGGACCATTACCAAGTTGTATTTCAATAAATGGAGCAGATCAAGAGAGAACAGTAAAAATTAAAGAAAGGTTTCGGCAGGACTTTTTTTTTTTGGTATGTTACATTTGGTTCAATGGTGAGAAGACTAAAAGAGAACTGGGAGAATAGTAGCCAAGTGTTGGCCAACATCTGGAATGACAAGTATGAAAACCTAAAAAGAGAAGAGAAAGGAAGAGGAAAAGGAGGAGAAGGAAGATAAAGAACATACATAATATTTAAGAGCATCAAAAATGTTCTCAATTGATTATTAAGCAAAAATAAAGCAAGTTCCAAAACAGCATATATAGTATAACCTCCTATGTATTTACAAGAAAAATGATAAACTTATATTCCAAATATTAAATAATGTCAAACTTTATACTGTTCTTGGGTTCCAAAATCACTGACAACAAATATCTACTTTTTTGTTCTTAAACTTTAAAACTTACAAATTTAAACTTAAATTTAAATTTAATTTTTAAAATTTAATTTATAAAATGTACAAATTTTTTTTTTTTTTTGGTACAGAGTCTTGCTCAGTCACCCAGGCTGGAGTGCAGTGGCACAATCTCAGCTCACTGCATGCTCTGCCTCCAGGGTTCACGCCATTCTCCTGCCTCAGCCTCCCAAGTAGCCGGGACTACAGGCGCCCGCCACCATGCCCGGCTTTTTTTTTTGTATTTTAAGTAGAGACGGGGTTTCACCGTGTTAGCCAGGATGATCTCGATCTCCTGACCTCATGATCCGCCCGCCTCAGCCTCCCAAAGTGCTAGGATTACAGGCGTGAGCCACCGCACCCAGCGTAAAATTTACAAATTTTAAGCATCATATCTTCACCTTATGTTTAATTACTAGTATTTCAACATTTATTAAACTACTACAATCTTTTTTCCCACTGCAAATAAAATGTGGCTGTGGTGTTTAAACCACATCATAAGTTCAAGTCTAGAAACTTATAAAAGCACAAGTCTAGGAGCCTAACTACCACTTATAAGAATAATTTAGTGTTCAAATATGTTCCAAGTTCCAAATAGCTAACACATTAAAGAATACCTAAAACACAGCCTAATTGTCAAGTGAGGACTATCTAATATTCCTTCCTGCCAAAAACATACTCCAGCAAGCTTAATTCTCCTCTACATTATCAATACAAGCCACATTTATCACCTTTGTGCTTTGGTTATGTTGTCTTAAATCCAATGAAATGCCTCACCCTTCCCAGCCTAAGCCCAGAAATAAATGCTTCTCCCCCTCCTTCTTTATTTTTCTTAAAGAGTTTAAAAATGCTTATCTTGTTTTCTAACAAATTGGAAGACAAATACTAACTTATTAATCAACTTCTATGGTGAAGTATTATGTCATACACAAAGCCTATCAATCTAACAATATTATTATAAGAATTGTAAATAAATTACCATCCATAATAATCACTACACCGGATCCTTTATCTAGGACATCAGCAACAACTGCTTCACATTTTAATTTTCCTAGAAAGAAAAGTAAAAGAAATACAGTGTCTTAAAAACCAAAGATTACTATAATAAGATGTGAAAGAATTTAATAGCATTTCCACTGTAAGCTCAGCAAAACTAAAAAACTATGGTTTGAAATAGTGTTCCTGAACAACAGATGCTGCAGAGGATGTGGAGAAATAAGAACGCTTTTACACTGTTGGTGGGAGTGTAAATTAGTTCAACCACTGTGGAAGACAGTGTGGCGATTCCTCAAGGATCTAGAACTAGAAATACCATTTGACCCAGCAATCCCATTACTGGGTATGTACCCAAAGGATTATAAATCATTCTACTACAAAGACACATGCACACGTATATTTATTGTGGCACTATTCACAATAGCAAAGGCTTGGAACCAACCCAAATGTCCATCAATAATAGACTGGATAAAGAAAATGTGGCACATATACACCATGGAATACTATGCAGCCATAAAAAAGGATGAGTTCATGTCCTTTGCAGGGACATGGATGAAGCTGGAAACCATCATTCTCAGCAAACTATCACAAGATCAGAAAATCAAACAACGCACGTTCTCACTCATAAGTGGGAGTTGAACAACGAGAACACATGGACACAGGGAGGGGAACATCACACACCGGGGCCTGTCAAGGTGTGCAGGACAAGGGGAGGGATAACATTAGGAGAAATACCTAATATAGGTGACGGGTTGATGTGTGCAGCAAACCACCATGGCACGTGTATACCTATGTAACAAAACTGCACATTGTGCACATGTACCCCAGAACTTAAAGTATAATAAAAAATAATAATAATGTTCCTGAACTCACTAGAAAAAATAATTCAACAGTAAAAGCAGTCAGAATACCGGAATCGCTAAATTTCAAACATCAATATTTGATACATTAGATTTTTTTAAATAACCATTGGCAATGTCAAGGACTCCTCTTGGTGTCTTTTGACCCTGTTATTCAACAAACATTTGTTGAGCATACAACCAATACTGTTTACCCCATTCTTTCTTAAATTTCTACTCCTATTCAACACAATACTGCAACTCCTACCCAGAGCAATCTGGCAATAAAAAAAAAAAAATGTTAAGACATCCAAACAGGAAAAGAAGTCAAATTATCTCTCTTCACCAATGATATCATTCTATACCTAGAGAACACTAAAGACTCCATCTACCAAAAGGCTCCTAGAACTGATAATGAGTCAAGTAAAAGTTTCAGGATACAAAATCAATGAACAAAAAAGAGTAGCATTTCCATACACCAACAATATTCAAGCTGAGAGCCAAATTAAGAATGCAATCTCATTTACAATAGCACAAAAAAATAAAATATCTAGGAATACATCTAATCAAGGTGGTGTAAGGTCTCTACAAGGAGAACTATAAAACACTGCTGAAAGAAATCAGATAACACAAACAAATGGAAAAAACATTCCATACTCATGGGTTGGAAGAATCAATATTGTTAAAATGGTCGTACTACTCAAAGCAATCTGCAGATTCAATGCTGTTCCTATGAAACCACCAATGTCATTTTTTACAGAATTAGAAAAAACTATTCTAAAACTCATATGGTACCAGAAAGAGCCAGAATAGTCAAAGCAATCCCAAGTAAAAAAAAAAAACAAAGCTGGAAGTATCATATTAACTGACTTGAAACTATACTATAAAACTACAGTAACCAAAACAGCATGGCACTGGTACAAGAAAAGACCAATGGAAAAGAACAGAGAACCCAGAAGTAAACCCACACACCTACAACCATCTGATCTTTGACAAAGTTGACAAATATAGGGAATGGGGAAAGGACTCCCTATTCAATAAACGGTGCTGAGATAACTGGCTAGCCATATGCAGAAAAATGAAACTAGACTCCCACCTTTCATCATATACAAAAATTAACTCAAGATGGATTAAATATTTAGATGTAAGACCTCAAAGTATTAAAATTCTAGAATAAAACATAGGAAATACCATCCTGGACATCAGCCTTAGGAAATAATTTATGGCTAAGTCCTCAAAAGCAATTACGATCAAAACAAAGATTAACAAGTAGGACCTAATTAAACTATGAACAGAGTAAACAGACAACCTAAAGAATGGGAGAAAATATTCTCACACTATGTATCCAATAGAGGTCTAATGTCTAGAATCTATGAGGAACGTAGTTCAACAAGCAAAAAACAAATAATCCCATTAAGAAATGGGCAAAGGACATAACAGACACTTCTCAAAAGAAGACACACAAGTGGCCAACAAACATAAAAAAAATGCTTCATAACACTAATCATCAGAGAAATGCAAATCAAAACCACAATGAGATACCATGTCACATCAGTCAGAATGGCTATTACTAAAAAGTCAAAAAAATAACAGATGCTGGTGAGGCTGCAGATAAAACAGAACATTTATACACTGTTGGAGGGAATGTAAATTAGTACAGCTACCATGAAAAGCAGTCTGGAGATTTCTCAAAGAACTTAAAACAGAACTACCATTTGACCCAGCAATCTCATTACTGGATATATACCCAAAGGAAAAGAAATCATTCCACCAAAAAGACATATGCACTCATATGCTCACTGCAGCACTATTCACAATAGCAAAGACATGGAATCAATCTAGGTGCCCATCAATGGTGAAATGGATAAAGAAAATGTGGTACATATATACCATGGAATACTACGCAGCCATGAAAAAGAACAAAATCATGTGCTCCGCAGCAACATGGATACAGTTGGACGTCATTATCCTAAGTGAATTAATGCAGGAACAAAAAACCAAATACTGTGTGTTTTCACTTACAAGTGGGAGCTGAACTCTGGGTACACGTGGACATAAAGATGGGAACAACAGACAATGGGGACTACTAGAGTAGGGAGAGCAAGAACTGAAAAACTACCTATTGGGTACTATGCTCACTACCTGAGTGATGGGATCATTCATATCCCAAAGTTTAGCATCACACAATACACCCACGTAATAAATCTGCACAGGTACCTCCTGAATCTAAAATAAAAGTTAAAATTCTTTTTTAAAATAATAAAGTTTATATAAAACCAAAAAAAAA